>NT_187565.1:0-292436 GCF_000001405.40 Homo sapiens | reverse complement strand
AAGCTTCAGAGGGAGCCACATGCCCAGAAAATCCCCTTATGATGCTACCCAGAAGAAGAGATACCTTGGCAATAAGTAGACTGGTGGTTGAGCATTCGCAAATATTTTCTTTACAACACTCTGTGCAGTAATAAAAACATAGAGGCAGTTCCCCAACGGTAATGTTAAAGTCACGCAGCAGTGTGTCCGTCCAGTGACATCTGGGCCTAGAGTCCGCCACAGAAGGACGCACGTGGTACCTCTGCAGGCGGGACTCTGACCCCTAGGGCCTTCCACGCTGGTGCCACATCTGTGAACACGTTACGCTACACATCAAGCGGGCATGAAGGTTGCAGGTGGAATCGAGGTTGCTAACCAGCAGACCCCGGGGTAGTGAGAATCTCCTGATGACCCAGGCAGGCCCCCTCTCAGCGCAGGAGCATTGAAAGCAGAAGAGGAAGGCAGAGCAAGTCGGAGATCGATGTGGACGTGAGACAGGAGGGGTCTGCAGAGTGAGAGAGACCCCACACCCCGTCCAGCTGGCTCTGAAGATGCAGGCAGGGGCCAGAGCTAACACATCCCTGTGGGTGGCCTCTGGAAACAGGGGGCTGACTTCAGCTGACAACAAGGACACGGGGCTTCGGTCCCGCAACTGTAACATCTTGATGTGAAAGAAAACCACTCCCCACGCAGATCCCCGGAAAGAAGGGCCAACGGCCGACACCTCAGCCTTAGCCCAGAGAGACCCGGAAGGAGGGCAGGCTGCCGACACCTCGGCCTTAGCCCAGAGAAACCCGTGTTGGCTCATGACCTGCAGGACTTGGCTGAGGATAAACGCCCTGTTTTAAGACACTAAGTTTGTGGCAGTTTTTATGACAGCAACGGAAAACTAACAAAATATTTGGGAGAAAAAAGGAAATTGTACAGTAATGCGTGCAGTGGGACCTCATGTTTATTGTAAACTACGCCCATATGTGTATATTTTTATACACACACGAAAGTGTCCGGACAGGATAAAGTCATGGGCAGTGGAAACCCCTGGCGATGGACATGCCAGAGACAGAGTGACACTCCACTTCACACAATTACGTGTGTTAGCTCTTTACAATGAGTCATAATTTTACAGTTTAAGCATCAGTTTAATAACTGATTTAATGAATGGACTGCGAGTGTATGGAGAGGCTGGCTACAGTACTGCCCAGGCACTGCCCACGGCTGGGTGGTGGGGGCACGGGGCCGCCAGGTTTTCCAGAGACGCATCTCTAGGGATGTCTCCCTGTGGTGAGCTCGCTAAGCTGCATTTCTTGTTTGCACCTGCAATGGCACAGTTGGGTTAAAAAAAGAAAAGCTTACGTGGTCTGTGGATTATGTGTTTTTCAGTTGCAGTTCGCCATAAAAGTGCTGGATGGTAAAAGACAGCACTCACTACAGCCCCCTGAACTGACAGCCCTAAGGAGTATTTTTTTTTCTTTTTCGGTCTTTTGCCCAGGCTGGAGTGCAGTGGTGCAATCTCAGCTCACTGCAACCTCCGCCTCCCAGATTCACGCAATTCTCCTGGCTCGGCCACCTGGGTACCTGGGATTACAGGCACGGGCCAAAATGCCTGGCTAATTTTTTGTATTTTTAGTACAGACAGGGTTTTGCCATCTTGGCCAGGCTGGTCTCAAACTCCTGATCTCAAGTGATCTGCCCGCCTCCGCCTCCCAAAGTGCTGGGATCACAGGTGTGAGCCCTCATTCACAGCCAGGAGTATTAATGAACAAACCAGGCGCCAGTCTTAGGAGCCTCCCTCTTAACTAAGGTCTTCATGAAAACAATATCAGTTGTAGCAGGCCAAAAACTAGATGTTGAAGTAAAATATGAGAAACATAGAAATAACAGAAAAGAATAAGTAAAGCACAAAATTTAAAAATGGAAGTTTTTAATTTGTCTTTCATTGTACTTAAGTTTTTGATTTAACGTTAAGGACATTTTTTCTAATAGAAAAAAGTTAGAATAAGACTAGAGTTGGTATGCACAAGAAGAAAGAAATGAGGTAAAAAGTGAAGAATTTACTAGAGAAACAATGAAATCCATGAAGAGATGTAAGGTAAGATACTGGAAACAGCACGAAACAGGTGGATGGATAATGTTCTGGTGCCCTTCTTCATGGCTGCCTGTTGGGTCCGCCGGGTGTGGGGTGAGCTGCTTCCCTGATGGGCAGAGACCCCCAGGAGCAAGTGCCAAGTGCCATTCGAATCCCCAGGTCCTCACCTCATGCCCAGATGCCTGAGCTTCTGAGGAGAGACATCGTCAGGGACCTGGGAACCCCTAGGGCTGGACCGATCAGAGTGCAAATGCTCTCTCTGCACGTGCTGGCAACGGTTGCAACACAGGCTGGACCAGAATCTCCCCTCCGCTTCCCTCCAGCTGAAACTAAAAATGAAGAGCCAGCAGCCCACGGTAGTGGAGGAGACTGTGAGAGAGGATGCCTCCTCCCCAGGAGCATATGGCTTCCTATTAACTGAAGAACTGCAGGTTGCAGGTGTGTGGCATGCACGAGGAGTCTGGCGTCTGCTCCCGTTTTGACTAATAGAACCTAAAGGAGCTTAAGAAATCAGGTGAATGTGAATCAGCTTTGCACACGTCTTTTAAATTGATTATCTTTATGTTTAGGCTCTAAACAGGATTACTTTATCGGCGTCGCTAATAGCAGTTCATTTATTAAGTTGATTATCAATAATCCCTGACAAATGAGTCATAAGACGATGGTTTTATCCATTCATCCAGTGTGTGAGGAGCACATATAATGCCTCACAGTGAAGGCGCAATGGCAATGATAAATGAGACAGCTCTTGCTTTCAAAGGCT
The DNA here is from genome assembly GCF_000001405.40 of Homo sapiens. Classification (NCBI taxonomy): domain Eukaryota; kingdom Metazoa; phylum Chordata; class Mammalia; order Primates; family Hominidae; genus Homo; species Homo sapiens. Next base: position 289,608 of record NT_187565.1, on the reverse strand, counting down.
ATAGGGACTCTCGGGAAAGCAAACAGGCATGTGGTAGAGACAAGCACGAGCAGTGAGGAAATATGCTGCAGGGGACGTAACTCCAGGGAGCCTTCCCAGAGGAGGCAATCAGAGCTGGGCATGGAAGGATGACCGGCAGCAAGGAGGAGACGGTGAACAGCCGACTTCAAGTCAGAGGAGCGAGGAGGAAGAAAATTGTCAGGGGAACAAGGCTTTCCGGGGGCAGATCACGAAGGATCTGCACTGGGATCAGGCAAACCCCTGCAACCAGCGCGTGGAGGGTCTCAAACAGAAAGCTGAGACGTGAGATCAGCCTTTGATGTGAGAGGCAGGACTTGGAGCTGGTGGCCGAGAGGTGCTAGGAGCTGAGTGATCTGAAGGAAGCTGTGAGAGCCCAGATACCAAATGGAGTCTCAGCATCAGGAAAGGCAAAAACGTCAGGACTGCTGGGCTTAGAAACACAGGAAGTGGCTCTGAAGGGTCTTTCATCTTTCTAGATGGATTCTGCAAAAACTGTGATTTCTTTGAAAGGCTTCTTAATCAGATGTCAGCCTGACTCTGCAAGGTCTCAAAAGCAGCCCCGACGCTCCCTGCCTACGGAGGCACAGCCACCCGCCACAGGCCAGTGGATGCTAGGAGATCCCCAGGCCAGGTACCCAGCTTGCCCAGCATGGTGGTGTTACGCTGTGTGGAGCAAAAGGTGATCCCAGGGCAGGCTCATGGGCCAGAGGAATATCTGAGCCCGTCTTCTGAGCTCTTCTCAGATGCGTCCATCAATAGCTGGTGTTCTCTTGGTTACTCACTTGATCACCTCACCCAACCCATGGCAGATGGGAGGGAGAAGAGGCTTGGAGCCATCTCATGACTTAAATAGCCTACTCACAAACATATCCCAAAACGGAAGTGTCAGGAGGCTGAGGTATGCCCCTTCTCTTCCCGTACAAGAATACAGTTTATTTCTCACCTTGGAGAAATGGCTTCACAGGATTCTGTTTTATCCTCCACGATCCATTGTTTCATAAGATTCACTTTTGCAGCTCTGGTTCAGATGCTGAATGGGTCAGTGCGTCTCACTTTCTGCATGGCTGTAAGAATTTCCGCAAATGCACGGTCATGCAGCCACCACCAAAACCGAGACATGCAGCCCTCCCTCTCACTGCAGTTCTAAGTTCCTGCTGCCCTCTTCTTTCAGAGCCATGCTTAAAGAACTTCCTTTCTTAGGAAGCCGAGGAGGGTGGGCCATTTCAGGTCAGGAGTTTGAGACCAGTCTGGCCAACATGGTGAAACTCTTGTCTCTACTAAAAATATAAAATACAAAAATTAGTCGGGTGTGGTGGTGCACACTTGTAATCCCAGCTGCTCGGGAGGCTGAGGCAGGAGAATCGTTTGAACCCAGGAGAAAGAGGTTGCAGTGAGCTGAGACTGTGCCACCACACTCCAGCCTGGGTGACGGAGCGAGACTCCATCTTGGCGGGGGAAAAGAAAAGAACGAACTTCATTTCCTATTTCTTGCAGTACTGGTCTGCTAGCAATGAATTTCCCTAGCTTTTTTTTTTTTTTCCTAAGGATGACTTTTTTCATTTTGATTTATGAAAGATATTTTCTCTCATTCTAGAATTCTGGGCTAACGTCTTTTCCTGTTTTAAGTATGTCACTTTACGGTGTTCTGGCCAGAATCATTTACGATGAAAAGTGTGCTGTAATTCTTTATTCTTCTGTACATAATGGTCTATAATTTTCTTTCTTTCTTTTTTTTTTTTTTTAAGGTTTTATCTGTATCCTTCACTTCTGGTAGTTTGACTGTGGTGTGTACATGTGTGTGGGGCTTGTCTGTATCCTTCACTTCTGGTAGTTTGACTGTGGTGTGTACATGTGTGTGGGGGTTTGTCTGTATCCTTCACTTCTGGTAGTTTGACTGTGGTGTGTACATGTGTGGGGTTTTATCTGTATCCTTCACTTCTGGTAGTTTGACTGTGGTGTGTATGTGTGCGGGGTTTTGTCTGTATCCTTCACTTCTGGTAGTTTGACTGTGGTGTGTAGACGTGTGTGGGGTTTTTTCTGTATCCTTCACTTCTGGTAGTTTGACTGTGGTGTGTACATGTGTGTGGGGATTGTCTGTATCCTTCACTTCTGGTAGTTTGACTGTGGTGTGTAGATGTGTGGTGTTTTGTCTGTATCCTTCACTTCTGGTAGTTTGACTATGGTGTGTATATATGTGTGGGGGTTTGTCTGTATCCTTCACTTCTGGTAGTTTGACTGTGGTGTGTAGACGTGTGTGGGGGTTTGTCTGTATCGTTCACTTGTGGTAGTTTGACTGTGGTGTGTGTATGTGTGTGGGGTTTTATCTGTATCCTTCACTTCTGGTAGTTTGACTGCGGTGTGTATATGTGTGGAGTTTTGTCTGTATCTTTCTGGTTGACTGTGGTGTGTAGATGTGTGTGGTGTTTTGTCTGTATCCTTCACTTCTGGTAGTTTGACTGTGGTGTGTGTATATGTGTGGGGTTTTGTCTGTATCTTTCTGGTAGTTTGACTGTGGTGTGTAGATGTGTGTGGAGTTTTGTCTGTATCCTTCACTTCTGGTAGTTTGACTGTGGTGTATATATGTGTGGAGTTTTGTCTGTATCCTTCACTTCTGGTAGTTTGACTGTGGTGTGTATATGTGTGTGGGGTTTTTTCTGTATCCTTCACTTCTGGTAGTTTGACTGTGGTGTGTGTATATGTGTGGAGTTTTGTCTGTATCCTTCTCTTCTGGTAGTTTGACTGTGTTGTGTCGATGTGTGTGGGGTTTTGTCTGTATCCTTCTCTTCTGGTAGTTTGACTGTGGTGCATATATGTGCGGGGTTTTGTCTGTATCCTTCACTTCTGGTAGTTTGACTGTGTTGTGTAGATGTGTGTGGGGTTTTGTCTGTATCCTTCTCTTCTGGTAGTTTGACTGTGGTGTGTAGATGTGTGGTGTTTTGTCTGTATCCTTCACTTCTGGTAGTTTGACTGTGGTGTGTAGATGTGTGTGGGGTTTTGTCTGTATCCTTCACTTCTGGTAGTTTGACTGTGGTGTGTGTGTATATGTGTGGGGTTTTGTCTGTATCCTTCACTTCTGGTAGTTTGTGGTGTGTGTAGATGTGTGCAGGGTTTTGTCTGTATACTTCACTTCTGGTAGTTTACTGTGGTGTATAGATGTGTGGGGTTTTGTCTGTATCCTTCACTTCTGGTAGTTCGACTATGGTGTGTAGATGTGTGGGGTTTTGTCTGTATCCTTCACTTCTGGTAGTTTACTGTGGTGTGTAGATGTGTGGGGTTTTGTCTGTATCCTTCACTTCTGGTAGTTTGACTGTGGTATGTAGATGTGTGGGGGTTTGTCTGTATCCTTCACTTCTGGTAGTTCGACTGTGGTGTGTAGATGTGTATGGGGTTTTGTTTCTGGTGTTGATCTGTCTTTGAGATTTTCTCAGGTTCTTCAGTCTGTGATGTGATCTATCTTTCTAATGTTAGAAACTCCCTGGCATTAGTGCTTCCCACGTTTCTTCTGTTCTGCTCTGCTTTCGTCTTTCTGGCTGGGATTCAGGTTCTATGTGTGTGAGAACATTTGATAGCTCTCTGCAGCTCTCGGATGCTCTTTTCTGCCTTTCGATTCCCACGCTTTCTCTTCGAGCCTCCGCTGGGTAATTTCCATGAACCTATCTTCAAGGTCACTGATTTCTTCGTTATGTCGAGCCTGCTGATGACTCACCAGCAAAATCCTTTATTTCTGAAACCATGAACCCCATCTGTGGTCTTTCCCTCTGCCTCTTTCTTAGAGTTCTCCTCTCTCCACTGCTTCCCATTTAGCCAGGCCCACTGTGCCGCTGCTTGATCGCATAACTATAGTTACTTTCACGTTTTCTCTGAGAGTTTGAAGGAACATCCATGTCACTTCTGAATCTTGTATTGATTGCCCTGTGTCTTGAGAATGAGCTTTAATTTTACGGTGTCTCCTAAATTTTGATGAAATCTTGGTCATCGTGTACAGAACAGTGGGAATGGATGTGAATGGTATCAGTGCTGGGAAATGGGCGGGGCTCTTATTCCATCAGGCTTTCGGTGGAGGTGTTGAGGCCATCAGGTCAGGTGCAGAGCTGGCTGAGTCGTGCTGCCCTGCGGCTGCCTGTGCTGCAGCACACACTTTACCTCCTCCAGAGCAGCCTTTTGCTGAGGGTGGTAGCAGCGCATGGTGGGGGCTTCCTTAGTGCCCCCACATCACCCAAACCAACGCCCACGATGGGCACTTAGGCAATGTACCGTGTCACGCAACGATATGTAACACAATAGTGAACGTGGCTGTATTTTTTACGTCTTTGCATGCTTCTCAGGAATTTCTCTAGAATAAACTTTTAGATTTTCAGTTTTAAATGGCATGCTCTCCAAACGTTTTAGTTATTGATAAGGTAGATGAATAGTCTTTGCTTGGCCTTTATTCATTTTTGCACTGCGTCATTCATTTTTTTCTTTATTGATTTGTAAGGCAATCTTTATATATTAAAAATATAAACATTTGTTACTTATATTGAAAAACTCTCAGGTTTTTATTATGATTTTACTTTGGCGATATTATTTTTAGTTTGCTTGTTGGCTTGTATCATAAATAAGTTTTTAATTTTATGAATTTAAAGTGGTATCTTTATAATTACGCCCCATGGAATCATGCCCAGATACGTCTTCTCCACCCCCAGAGTACAGAATACTCATATACATATGTGTCTATATATATACACACATATATGTGTGTGTATATATACGATTTTAATGCTTACATATTTAATCCATCAGAATTTATCTTTACATATGATATGAAGTATCTTTGAAATAAGCTCTTTTTTCTTTATAAATTTAAAGTGCTACCTTCATTAGAGAATGACCCAGAGACATTCAAAATTATTAGAGCTTTGACTTTCTAATTGAACTAAGCAGAAAAAAAAGCAAAGGCCTCCAAATGAAATTATTTGGTCTACCTTTCATCACAATCAGAATTGAATTAGTTATTCAAGTATTTCAAATGTTAATATATAAGCAAGTCCAGTATCTCAATCACTAATACATAAGCTAATTTAGAAATGCAGTAAATTGGATTCAGTAGGACTTGGAATTTGCATTTCAATTAGTTGATAATAATTCTAAGTGGTGCTCTGCACGTGGGCAGGGTCTGACCCACAGACGGGGCCATCAGCCCTGGGAATCTGACCTTCCCGATCGGGGACACAAGGCCGAGGGTCTGTACACCAGGGCATGAGACAGGTGGGACAGGATTTCTGCTTGTTTTTATTTTTATTTTTGAGAGCAAAAGGCCTTCTATTATCTTGCACTATGTTAGAGAACATAGCAGGGTATAAGTGAAAACGCTTATATATATAATTAGGATGTGCATATTAAGTGATTAACGAGAAGACTGATTTTTTCTCAGTTTTACAGCAGGAAGATAAGATGGTTTTTAACAGAATAATTCTGGCATTGTTCCAAGAGGTGGAACATTTTGAAGCAGAATTCCTGCAGTCTTTGCAGGAGTGCTCTGCTCTGTGGTTTAGAAGGAGGGCTGATAACAGCCAATTAAAGACCCAACCTTCTTCCAGTCCCGTACCAGGCAGTCAAAAAAGAACTGCTGACACGTTCCATCTCACGGGACGGCACAGTCAACGCAGGTGCCCAGAGCCTCCCAAGGACTTGGTGTGCCCGATAACTTCCGGGGTAAGAACCTGAACCCATACCTATCACATTAAAATTAAATACAATTAGCAAGTCGATCTTCCCATAACATTTGCATTCTTAACTATTGTTCAGGTGAAGAGAAGTTGTTCATGTACACCAAGAGGAGAATAAAAGCCTCATGGAGACAAGCAAACATTCATTATCATTTTTATCATTTGAATCACTTGGAAACGTAAAAGATTTTGTCAGTCAGCTCCTGCTGGGAAGCTCTTTTGTGCAAAAAAGAGAAAAACACTCAGTGCACTGTATCCAATTACTTTCAATTCTGTTTAAAATACAATTATAGAATCACCAATTTTGTTTAAAGCAGACTTTGGGTATAAGATAAACTTAGTATAAGAGTGTCTACGTAATTTACCAACAAAACGTTATCAGATTACATTAATGCAGATTTCCACACCTTGCCTCTGGCAGCTATGAGCACTCGCGCTGGTGCCAGTGGCACCTCGGAGGCACCGGGCGGGGCTCAGGACTTGCGGGGCCAGGGGCAGGTTGAGGAGGAAGGTCAGTGCTGACCACGCTGAGTGCTGCCCGTTCCCCAGCATGCTGTGTGCCCCTGTGGGAATCCGAGGTTGCTGCTCCTTCCTGGGTCCTGCAGGCTCCTCTCACTCCCCTGGCCCCGGGCTGCTCTTGACACCTGTCCCTGCTGCAGGGACACCAGGCTGCAGCCTCCAGCAGGGATGCCTTTCCTCTTCCATTTCTCACAATAAACCTCTTGTTGGATATCCTGTGGCATTTACTTGCTTTAAATTTTTTTTTTTTTTTTTTTTTTTGAGAGAGAGTGTAATTCTGTGGCCCAGGCTGGAGGGCAATGGCACGATCTTGGCTCACTGCAACCTCCGCCTCCCGGGTTCAAGTGATTCTCCTGCCTCAGCCTCTCGAGTAGCTGGGATTACAGGCATGTGCCACTACACCAGCTAATTTTTGAATTTTTAGTAAAGATGGGGTTTTGCCATGTTGGCCAGGCTGGTCTCGAACTCCTGACCTCAGTTGATCTGCCCACCTTGGCCTCCCAAAGTGCTGGGATTACAGGCATGAGCCACCGCGCCCAGCCCCTTAAAAAATTTTTATCGTATATTGACAAAGTATGTGTATTTACGGGGTTAAAAAGTGTGTTGTGATTTTAAGTACAATGTAGAAAAATGAAGTGAATTAACACAGCTATCAGCTGAAATATTTCACATTTTTTGTGATGAGAACATTAGAAATTCACTCAGTGATACTGAAATGTGCAGTACTCATTTACTTGCAGTATTCAGTGTGCTACTGATCTAAAAACATGAAGAATATCCTCCTGTCTCGGTTACTGTAGCCTGTAGTATAGTTTGAAGTCAGGTAGTGTGATGCCTCCAGCTTTGTTCTTTTGGCTTAGGATTGTCTTGGCGATGTGGGCTCTTTTTTGTTTCCATAAGAACTTTAAAGTAGTTTTTTCCAATTCTGTGAAGAAAGGCATTGGTAGCTTGATGGGGATGGCACTGAATCTATAAATTACCTTGTACTGGTACCAAAACAGAGATATAGACCAATGGAACAGAACAGAGCCCTCAGAAATAATACCACACATCTACAACCATCTTATCTTTGACAAACCTGACAAAAACAAGAAATGGAGAAAGGACTCCCTATTTAATAAATGGTGCTGGGAAAACTGGCTAGCCATACGTAGCTGAAACTGGATCCCTTCCTTACACCTTATACTAAAATTAATTCAAGATGGATTAAAGACTTACATGTTAGACCTAAAACCATAAAAATCCTAGAAGAAAACCTAGGCATTATCATTCAGGACATACGCATGGGCAAGGACTTCATGTGTAGAACACCAAAAGCAATGGCAACAAAAGCAAAAATTGACAAATGGGATCTAATTAAACTAAAGAGCTTCTGAACAGCAAAAGAAACTACTATCAGAGCGAACAGGCAACCTACAGAATGGGAGAAAATTTTTGCAATCTACTCATCTGACAAAGGGCTAATATCCAGAATCTACAAAGAACTCAAATAAATTTACAAGAAAAAAATAAACAACCCCATCAACAAGTGGGCGAAGGACATGAACAGACACTTCTCAAAAGAAGACATTTATGCAGCCAACAGACACATGAAAAAATGCTCATCATCACTGGCCATCAGAGAAATGCAAATCAAAACCACAATGAGACACCATCGCACACCAGTTAGAATGGCGATCATTAAAAAGTCAGGAAACAACAGGTGCTGGAGAGGATGTGGAGAAATAGGAACACTTTTACACTGTTGGTGGGACTGTAAACTAGTTCAACCATTGTGGAAGACAGTGTGGCGATTCCTCAAGGATCTAGAACTAGAAATACCATTTGACCCAGCCATCCCATTACTGGGTATATACCGGAAGGACTATAAATCATGCTGCTATAAAGGCACATGCACATGTATGTTTATTACAGCACTATTCACAATAGCAAAGACTTGGAACCAACCCAAATGTCCATCAATGATAGACTGGATTAAGAAAATGTGGCACATATACACCATGGAAAACTACGCAGCCATAAAAAGGACAAGTTCATGTCCTTTGTAGGGACATGGATGAAGCTAGAAACCATCATTCTGAGCAAACTATCACAAGAACAAAAAACCAAACACCACATGTTCTCACTCATAGGTGGGAATTGAACAATGAGAAGACTTGGACACAGGAAGGGGAACATCACACACTAGGGCCTGTTATGGGGTGGGGGGAGGGGGGAGGGAAAGCATTAGGAGATATATCTAATGTAAATGACGAGTTAATGGGTACAGCACACCAACATGGCACATGTATACATATGTAGCAAACCTGCACATTGTGCACATGTACCCTAGAACTTAAATAATAATAATAATAATAATAATAATAATAATAAAGAATATCCTCCTGTCTCACGGAGGGTGGTTCTTTTGACCCTCAACTCTCCATTTTCCGCACCCCCAGCTTCTGTAACCTCCATTCCACTGTCTGCACCTGTGAGTTCCATTGTTTTAGGTCCTGTATTTAGGTGGGGATTTGCGGTGTTTGTTTTTCTGTATTTTGGCTTATTTCATGTAACCTAATGCCCTCTGCTTCCATTCACGTCTGCCTTCCCACGTTTGCCACAGCACTGCTCACAATCGCCAAGTCACAGAGTCAACCTCTGTCATCAAAGGGTGAGTGGATGAAAATGCAGCAGATACGGTGTGGAATACTAGTCACTCCTAAAGAGGAAGAAACTCTGTCGTCTGTGATGATTTTTTGTATTGTTCATAGTCTCTTGTTGTGCGTTATTATGACCTAACATTGCGTTTCTCCCTCGCTTGCCTCTCTCTGTCCCTGTGTAGTGAGTGTGTGCACACGTGTGTGTTTGTGGAAGATACTCAGTCACTAGCAGGAAGCACAACAGTGGATTCCAAATACAATTCTTAGGCGAAGAAACATCTTCAAGACTCATTAGGTATTTTCTCAATGCTTGCAAAATCTCATGAGTCACATATTTATGCAGAGTGAGATGCCTGTCACACGTATGTTCGTGGGTTTCCTTTCTTGTGTCCGGAATGATCAGGTTGAACCATATACAATTTCTGCTTTTAAATATTGGCTGATTATTGGCAGTTTAATGTGGGTCAACCAACTTTATCAACTCAGCACAGTAAAGGTGCTTAGCTCAGCCTAAGTGGAAGCTTTTATTTGCAGTAACACATGATTTGGGTCATAACAAAATGGAAATGTCAACTAACTGTTTAATAAATGTGCTTGCTCGATGGTATTGAGGCTCTGGTGGGAAGACCACACACAGGACTCATCACCGAGGGAGGTGACTCATCACCGAGGGGAGATTCTGCTGCCTCCGGGGGCAGGGGGCAGCATGGTTTAGCCGCGTAAAACTGAGAGACCTAGAGTTGACTTCCGGTGGTGTGACTCGCTGAGACAGGGTCTTCATCTCTAAGGCTTGGGTCATGGTGTTGGCTTCAGCACAGTTACCAGAGCGGCGAGGGCTGGGATGGCTGTTGTTCTTGGTGTATTACAAGTCCTGCAATTATTGCCGGTGCTGTGCCTAGTTCATTGCTCTCCTGTCTCACGTTACCCCCCATACACTAAAATCTGGTGACGCAGAACCTGTTTCCATTTTCTGATTGCACCTGAGTGATTCAACAGAGTTGGCATTCAACATGAAATAGTGTTACTATAAAATATTATTTCCCTCTCCCGTAAATATGCTGTCTTTGGGAACTTGGTCCTGCTCTGTGCAGGGCTGATGCTCTCCTACCCACCGCTTACCCTAATGCTCTAGGGTGGACCCCTCAATGCAAATGTGAGTCTGCAGGGAGACAAGCCTGGAGCTCCCAGAATGGGTTAGGAGTCCTGTCTCACGCATTTAGAGAGCACCTCACTTTACACTTGTAAGTTACCTACGCCACTTATGACTACTCACTGAAGTGCACTGGGTCTGTTAGATTCTAAGGGGTCAGCTCACACCTTCTGTAAAGGCCCAGATGTAAGTATTCTAGGGTCTGCCGGCTGTCGGGGTGCCTCACACCTGCTCAGCCCTGCCTGAAGCTGGGAGGTACCCACAGCAACATGATGACCAGTGAGCGGGCCACATTCCAATAAAACTTTATTCACAAAAAAGGCCCTTGGCAGGCCCTTGCTTGCCAGCATCTGGACTGAAAGCTCCATTCTCTGGTGTTAGTTTACCTGCATTTGGGCACCAGAACAGCACGTGATGTTTCCTGCATACTTCCCGAATAAACGAGCTGTTATTATTGATGACTAAATATAACTTAAGCAAGAATATGCTCCCCAAGCTGTGAAACCCACGGATGGCAGTCAGGGGTCTAAAGGACTTTTCTCTCAGACACTCTTCACCCTTTCTGTCTTCTCAATCCCATTAGATGCCCCCACAGTTCACCTTCTCTCCTCTCCATCTCATCAGACGCCCCCACAGTTCACCCCTCTCTCCCCTCCATCTCATCAGACGCCCCCACAGTTCACCCCTCTCTCCCCTCCATCTCATCAGATGCCCCCACAGTTCACCCTCTCTCCTCTCCATCTCATCAGACACCCCCACAGTCCACCCTCTCTCCTCTCCATCCCAGAAGACGCCCCTCCAGTTCACCCTCTCTCCTCTCCATCTCATCAGATGCCCCTGACACTTCACCCTCTCTCATCTCCATCTCATCAGATTACCCCTCCAGTTCACCATCTCTCCTCTCCATCTCATCAGATGCCCCCACAGTTCACCCCTCTCTCCTCTCCATCTCATCAGATGCCCCCACAGTTCACCCTCTCTCCTCTCCATCTCATCAGACACCCCCACAGTCCACCCTCTCTCCTCTCCATCCCAGAAGACGCCCCTCCAGTTCACCCTCTCTCCTCTCCATCTCATCAGATGCCCCCAATACTTCACCCTCTCTCATCTCCATCTCATCAGACACCCCTCCAGTTCACCATCTCTCCTCTCCATCTCATCAGATGCCCCCACAGTTCAACCCTCTCTCCTCTCCATCTCATCAGATGCCCCCACAGTTCACCCCTCTCTCCTCTCCATCTCATCAGATGCCCCCACAGTTCACCCCTCTCTCCTCTCCATCTCATCAGACGCCCCCACAGTTCACCCTCTCTCCTCTCCATCTCATCAGACACCCCCACAGTCCACCCTCTCTCCTCTCCATCCCAGAAGATGCCCCTCCAGTTCACCCTCTCTCCTCTCCATCCCATCAGTCGCCCCCACAGTTCACCCTCTCCTCTCCATACCAGCAGACGCCCCCACAGTTCACCCTCTCTCCTCTCCATCTCATCAGACGCCCCCACAGTTCACCCTCTCTCCTCTCCATCCCAGAAGATGCCCCCACAGTTCACCCTTCTCTCCTCTCCATCTCATCAGACGCCCCACAGTTCACCTCTCTCGTCTCTATTCCAGCAGATGCCCCCACAGTTCACCCCTCTCTCCTCTCCATCTCATCAGACAACCCACAGTTCACCCTCTCTCCTCTCCATCCCAGAAGACGCCCCCACAGTTCACTCCTTTCTCCTCTCCATCTCATCAGATGCCCCCACAGTTCACCTCTCTCCTCTCTATTCCAGCAGATGCCCCCATAGTTCACCCCCTCTCCTCTCCATCTCATCAGATGCCCCCACAGTTCACCCTCTCTCCTCTCCATCTCATCAGACACCCCCACAGTTCACCCTCTCTCCTCTCCATCCCAGAAGATGCCCCTCCAGTTCACCCTCTCTCCTCTCCATCTCATCAGACGCCCCCACAGTTCACCCTCTCTCCTCTCCATCTCATCAGACATCCCCACAGTTCACCCTCTCTCCTCTCCGTCTCATCAGACGCCCCCACAGTTCACCCTCTCTCCTCTCCATCTCATCAGACGCCCCCACAGTTCACCCTCTCTCCTCTCCATCCCAGCAGACGCCCCCACAGTTTACCCTCTCTCCTCTCCATCTCATTAGACGCCCCCACAGTTCACCCTGTCTCCTCTCCATCCCAGCAGACGCCCCCACAGTTTACCCTCTCTCCTCTCCATCTCATCAGACGCCCCATAGTTCACCCCGTCTCCTCTCCATCCCAGAAGACGCCCCCACAGTTCACCCTCTCTCCTCTCCATCTCATCAGACGCCCCCACAGTTCACCCTCTCTCCTCTCCATCCCAGAAGATGCCCCCACAGTTCACCCTTCTCTCTCTCCATCTCATCAGATGCCCCCATAGTTCACCCCCTCTCTCCTCTCCGTCCCAGAAGATGCCCCTCCAGTTCACCCCTCTCCCCTCTCCATCTCATCAGACACCCCACAGTTCACTCCTCTCTCCTCTCCATCCCAGAAGACAACCCTCCAGTTCACCCCTTTCTCCTCTCCATCTCATCAGACACCCCACAGTTCACCCCTCTCTCCTCTCCATCTCATCAGACACCCCACAATTCACCCTCTCTCCTCTCCATCTCATCAGATGCCCCCACAGTTCACCCCTCTCTCCTCTCCATCTCATCAGATGCCCCCACAGTTCACCCTCTCTCCTCCCCATCTCATCAGATGCCCGCACAGTTCACCTCTCTCCTCTCCATCCCAGAAGACACCCCTCCAGTTCACCCCTCTCTCTTCTCCATCTCATCAGACACCCCCAGAGTTCACCCTCTCCCCTCTCCATCTCATCAGATGCCCCCACAGTTCACCCTCTCTCCTCTCCATCCCAGAAGATGCCCCCACAGTTCACCCCTTTCTCCTCTCCATCTCATCAGATGTCCCCACAGTTCACCCTCTCTCCTCCCCATCTCATCAGATGCCCCCACAGTTCACCTCTCTCCTCTCCATCCCAGAAGATGCCCCTCCAGTTCACCGCTCTCTCTTCTCCATCTCATCAGACGCCCCACAGTTCACCCCTCTCTCCTCTCCATCTCATCAGACACCCCCACAGTTCACCCTCTCTCCTCTCCATCCCAGAAGACGCCCCTCCAGTTCACCCCTCTCTCTTCTCCATCTCATCAGACATCCCCACAGTTCACCCTCTCTCCTCTCCATCTCATCAGACATCCCCACAGTTCACCCTCTCTCCTCTCCATCTCATCAGACACCCCCGCAGTTCACCCCTCTCCTCTCCATCCCAGAAGATGTCCCTCCAGTTTACCCCTCTCTCCTCTCCATCTCATCAGACACCCCCACAGTTCACCCCTCCCTCCATCCCAGCAGATGTGTCCTCTCTTCATCCTTCTCTCCTCTCCATCCCAGCAGACGCCTCCACAGCCAGCCTCTTGGGCATTACAGCGTCTGCACCTACACTGTGGTGAACATGTGAAATCCAACTGAGCCTTCTCAAAGCTTAGGTGGGAATGGTCAACTCAGAAATCAATTTTAAAACTAAGACAAATGAGGAATTGGATTAGGAGAACATGTTTGGGATATGAATATTCACCTGCTACACGTTAAAAATGCTGATATTTAAATGTGCCTAGATTGAAAGAGCCCCCAGGAGTGAACATTATGAAAGGGCTGTGCGTAATGGAACAGGATGCAGAGACGACATCATGGTGCCAGCCACAGTCATAGGGGGTGCTGGGCGTTCACGTGGGTGAAACCCAAGTCGTTCCCAGCACAGTTAACATGACCCTGGAGGCCAGCAGAATGAAGACGGCACATGGATGTGTATGTGCCTCCCCGGTCTTGTCTTTCCTGTTTAATCTGAGGTCCCTATGATGTGCTTCTGACATCTCCACTGTTAAAATCTTTCAAGAGAATTTTGTCCACACTCACTACAGCTCAGCGTGCCCTTGTTTCCTGGAAACACAGGGTTACAGAGTGACAACTATGGGAATTCTCCCAGTCCTGGCCGTTTTCTTCCTTTCTCTCCTCTCCCCACAGTATCTACCCTGGCCTCCGCCACTGCCCTCCACAGAGCAGTGCCATGGGGTGAAGATCTACCCTGCCCTCCACAGAGCAGTGCCATGGGGTGAAGATCTACCTGCCCTCCACAGAGCAGTGCCATGGGGTGAAGATCTATCCTGCCCTCCGCAGAACAGTGCCACAGGGTGAAGATCTACCCTGCCCTCCACAGAGCAGTGCCATGGGCTGAAGGCCACGGGGCTTGGGGCTGAGCTACCTTCAGCTGAGAGCCTTGGTGGCTTGTGCAGCCTCCAGCACCTCATTTCCCTGAGTCATGTTTCTGTCCATAAAACAGGCATCATGAGAGCTTCCCTGAGTTACAAAGCTGAGCTTCAGCAATGTCATCTAAAATGGAAATAAATGAATTACGTTGGAATCCATAAAACGTGAAGGAATATAAGATAAACTAAGATGCGAATAGGCAACAGCAAAAATGTGTTGATACCTCCTGGTAACATAATATTTTTTTTTTGCAGAAACTTTCATTACATTAACCCCCAAAGAGTGACTCAGAGGAGTTTCGAGGACTTTCAAGTTAGCAGGTCCCTGGCAGGCAGGTCGCTGTCCAGACCCATCACATGGCTGCTTTCTCTGCTTTATTATCTACAACACGGCGTCAGATTTAGGGAAAAAGAATGATTGGGGCACGTATAAATCGAGTTTGGCAGAATGCCTGACATTTGTTGGACTCATCAATGGAGTGATAAATCCTGGATAAATGGAAGAATGGACCCAACTGTTGCACCATCTCTGCTAAGTGGACAATGGCATGGGGGCCATAGGCAGAGTGGATTTGTGTCTGCTGAGTGGGCAGTGGCATGGGGGCCACGGGCAGAGTGGATTTGTGTCTGGTGAGTGGGCAGTGGCATGGGGGCCACGGGCAGAGACGGATTTGTGTCTGCTGAGTGGGCAGTGGCATGGGGGCTGCAGGCAGAGTGGATTTGTGTCTGCTGAGTGGACAGTGGCATGGGGGCCACAGGCAGAGATGGATTTGTGTCTGCTGAGTGGACAGTGGCATGGAGGCCACGGGCAGAGTGGATTTGTGTCTGCTGAGTGGGCAGTGGCATGGGGGCCGCAGGCAGAGATGGATTTGTGTCTGCTGAGTGGACAGTGGCATGGGGGCCATAGGCAGAGACGGATTTGTGTCTGCTGAGTGGACAGTGGCATGGGGGCCACGGGCAGAGACGGATTTGTGTCTGCTGAGTGGACAGTGGCATGGGGGCCACGGGCAGAGCGGAATTGTGTCTGCTGAGTGGGCAGTGGCATGGGGGCCACGGGCAGAGACGGATTTGTGTCTGCTGAGTGGACAGTGGCATGGGGGCCACGGGCAGAGACGGATTTGTGTCTGCTGAGTGAACAGTGGCATGGGGGCCACGGGCAGAGACGGATTTGTGTCTGCTGAGTAGACAGTGGAATGGGGGCCACGGGCAGAGTGGATTTGTGTCTGCTGAGTGGACAGTGGCATGGGGGCCACGGGCAGAGACGGATTTGTGTCTGCTGAGTGGACAGTGGCACGGGGGCCACGGGCAGAGTGGATTTGTGTCTGCTGAGTGGACAATGGCATCGGGGCCACGGGCAGAGTGGATTTGTGTGTGCTGAGTGGACAGTGGCATGGGGGCCACGGGCAGAGTGGATTTGTGTCTGCTGAGTGGACAGTGGCATGGAGGCCACAGGCAAAGACGGATTTGTGTCTGCTGAGTGGACAGTGGCACGGGGGCCATGGGCAGAGTGGATTTGTGTCTACTGAGTGGACAGTGGCATGGGGGCCACAGGCAGAGACAGATTTGTGTCTGCTGAGTGGACAGTGGCATGGGGGCCACGGGCAGAGTGGATTTGTGTCTGCTGAATGGACAGTGGCATGGGGGCCACAGGCAGAGACGGATTTGTGTCTGCTGAGTGGGCAGTGGCATGGGGGCCATGGGCAGAGTGGATTTGTGTTTGCTGAGTGGACAGTGGCATGGGGGTCCACGGGCAGAGTGGATTTGTGTTTAGAACAGGAGTAACGTAGGCAGCACATCTCACCCATTTTCCTCACATCTGATCAGATTTGAGGCCATGGAATGCTTTCTGGTCAGGTGTTAAGGGCTGTTGGTGAGTGAACTCCCAGAGGGTTTCCCACTTGGGCAGGGAAGGGTCTGGCCAGTGTTTAGGTGATGCTGTCAGGGGGCCTCAGGCTCACATCCTTCCGCTGGTTTTTTGAAGAGTTTCAACTACATTGGGTGATGGTGTGAGTTTTGCCAGTGTAAAGTTCTGAGAGTGTCCTTTGAACATTGTTAGTACTGGAGCCTCGTACAGGACTCTGGGCCAGTCCCTGATGTGAAGAAAGGAATGAGACACTGTCTCTGCCACTGAAGAATGAGGTGATAATGATCCTGGGGGACCCGTGGCAGTGATGGTGAATGAGTGGAAGAAGGAACCCGTCAACAGGAAAACGCCGTTCGTAATTCTTAAAACACTTAGTCCCTGCCCATGGTCTAAAAAAGGCTTTGGTTTTTTCATGTTTTGCTTTCAAACATATAGAATTATGCAATGAATCACAAACATTTAAAGTGGGAAGTTAACCAATGGCTGTTTACCTGGGGGTCCAAAACCCCAGGACTGAGGCTGGCCTTGGAGCCCTGGACCCACGAAGCATAGCTTCTGCATGTGTGTGCTTTTCCCCAGAAGACGTTTCAGATAATTCATAATTCTCCTAATGTCTTTAAGTGTGCCAAATAAAAGGTGGGTGAGAGCTGACATCCAGTCCAATCCTTCACTTTCCTGCTGGAGCAGATGGGTCAGACAACTTGGCTCTGCTCCCAGCTCTGTCCAGCTCCCCAACCCCTTCCTGGTAATCATCTTTCCTGGTTATTTCCTGGCTTACAAACACCTGCTCCCCATTTCCTTCCAACAAGTCTAAGAGCTTCCCCAGGGCAACATTTTGGCTTTGTTCTCAGCCACTCGTCCCACAAGCTGGCACTGACCACCCTCTGTGGAGGGAGAGGAGATGGATGGGCCTGGGCTGGGCAGACATGCGGCCCGGTCTCAGGGCATGACTTGTCTGGCATTCCTACACCATAGCTCTTGAATTTAGCTGAACTAGGCAACAATGATAGAGTTCGGATTTGTGAAGTTCTAATTTGTAAGATTTGGTTTCAATTTAAAATTTCACTTTTTCATCTTGTAAGCCAACAGCGATGAATAACTAGATGTATTGGAAGAGGTTATATGGTCACTGGCTCATCACTGGGTGCACTCGGCGTGGATAGAGACAATACAGGGAGGGCCCTGTGGCCCAGGGCTCCCTGTCTGATGTGTGGGTCATAATTAATAACTCTTATGTGGCACTGGCCAAGGCTGAGAAGCAGTTCCGCCCTGCCTATCCACTTGCCCAGGACCTCACAGCCGGCCGCAGAAGGCAGGGGTAGCTTCCAGGCAGTTCTTGGCATTACCACCCAAACTAACTTGTGGGACTCAAGATACACAGCAGCGTGGCTGTTGACAGTAACAGTCATATTTTCATGGTTCATAGGAATTGCTGATTTCCCAAAGAGTTTTATCTGTCTATATTTTCAAAATTAAATTTATTAATAATAAATTTTGGGCAAATATGTAAAGTGTAGGGTATTATATTTATAAAGCTAGTCCATTTCCTCCCTCCTCTACAAAAAAATGTGTTGCCTAGAAATGCACTTACAAAGTTATAGTCAACAACAAAATTCCGTTAACGAGTTTTACTCACAAAGACATTCAAACACACACCCATACGCACACATTCATACAAACAGAGACATGTGCTTGTCCTGAGGATAATCTGAATGATCAGAAAGATACGATGGCTCATGTTGGCTTTATAATTTGACAAGGAAGTTGCCCAAGCACACTTCCTTAATTATTATGTAATTGATAAATAACAAAAGCTCTGGTTGTTCTTTAAAAAAATACTTGAAAATTGACAGCCATGGGTCTAATATTTTCAGCTTGGCAATTTAGTTTAAATGGATGGCACTCAGCTCACGGTGAAGTGGTTTTGGAGAGGGAGCTCGCAGGCAGTGGGAAAGTGCTTGGAGTGGGAAGGCAGCTGGTCTCACTTACGTCTGGTGCTCTCCAAGCGGTCTCTGTCCGATGGACTTCAGCAGCGGCTCTGGTAGGATTGCCGACTTTGGTGATGTCTTGGGGCTGGAGTCTGACTCTCCGCTCTCCTCGTCCCCCATGGCTTTAATGTAACTCCCACTTCTCATTCTCCTGCAGGGAATCTCCTCATCTTTGCCACCGGTGGGGTACCCTCCCCACTCATCCTGAGGTACCTGGGAGCAGACAGACATGAAACACGCATCAACTTTGTCACTGAGAACGGCAGCATCAGCTCCTTTTTGGAAACAAATCCTCTACAATTCCATAAAGATACACCTCTTTACAGTCATTTATCAGTTAAAGTCAGATGTATAAAAATGCATATCCTAAAAGGAAATGAATATAAAAATGTTGGTTTTTCTTCATTATAAGTGATAGGTAAACACTATGGATAAAGTGAGAACATGTGAGAAAAGTAAGAGAAGAAGGGACACTTGCAATCTCAGCAGCTGGGACAAAGCACTGGCTAAAATTTAGTTTTATTTCCCTCTGGTATAAGAGGAAATTGAAAGTTGAGAAACTGAACAGAGAAGAAAAGGAAAAAAAAAAAAGAAAACAAGGGAGAAAATGCCTATCTTATTGTATACTTATATCTTAATTGCAAGCAAATAAAAGAGGACGGTTTTAAATCTAGAAGCCAAGTTCTATCATACATGCAAATTCTCAGTACTCAGAGTTGCAAAAGGATCTTGCCCAGCCACATCACATTCCACCTGACATATCACCAAGCACCTGTGCATGGAATATGTCTGCCTGTTACAGAACTCAGCACCCGCTCATGTTATATATCTGGGTGGTACAGAGCTGATCACCTGTGCGTGTTATACGTCTGCCTCGTACAGAGCTGAGCACCCATGCATGTTATATGTCTGCCTGGTGCAGACCTGAGCAACCATGAATACTATATATCTGTGTGGTATGGAACTCAGCACCCACGCATGTTATATGTCTGCCTGGTGCAGACCTGAGCAACCATGAATGTTACATATCTGTGTGGTATGGAACTCAGCACCTGCCTGTGCATGCAATATATCTGTGTGGTACAGAGCTGACCACCTGTGCTTGTTATATGTCTGCCTGGTACAGAGCTGAGCAACTATGCATGTTATGTGTCTGCCTGGTGCAGACTTGAGCAACCATGAATGTTATATATCTGTGTGGTATAGAACTCAGCACCCGTGCGTATTATATATCCGCATGGTACCAAACTGAGCAACTGTGCATGTTATACATCTGCCTGGCACAGAGGTGAGCACCTATGCCTGTTATATATCTGCCAGGCACAGAACTGGGCCCATGTACTTGCTATATATCTGCCTTGCACAGAGCTGAGAGCCCATACATATAACCCCCCTGTGCTGTGTATCTGACTGTTCGAGAACTGAACCCACGTGCATTTTATATATCACCCATAACGGCCCCACAGGCTGCCTGCTGTGTGTTTGCGTTACGTGTCTCTCTGAGGGGAGGGTAAACCATGAAGATGACAGTGCAGGCCAGTATTCTGTTTCCATCCACCATCTGTGAAACTGGAAACCCAACATAGCCATGAGCAAAAAGTCATGGAACTGGAACACAATGGTTTCCATTGCGGGAGCTGCTCCCTGCAGGTCAGGACCTGGTTTCTTTTCCCCACGGTTCATTAGCTTTGAACAGCTCCCCAGAGGCTCTGGGTAAAGTTCACTCCATAGGTCAAACTCACGTTTACAAAGGCAAAAGAACACAGCATGCAGTCGCTGAGTGTAGAGAACTCCAAAGCTTTCCACAGCAACTAGCTCATCACCCACAGTCTGTAGTCAAGGAACTAACATAGCATGTTTTTCATGTAGGAGAAGAGAATCTCCCCAAATGCTGTTTACAGAGAAAGAAAATAAAAAATTTCCATATTTAAAAGGTCTTCAGACAGGGTATTTTTTTTCCTTGCTGTAAAATACTTAGCTACTGAGGTATACTACTTATATCATCAGAAAAGGAACCTGCCATCTTTCCAGTGTCCATATTGCCTGTGAGCCGATCGACAGCACTACCAGCAGGGATCTGCGTGGCTGGTGGTGAAGGCAGGTCTTCTGGCTGAAGGCCCCTGTATTCATTCCTAAATGCCATGCCACACCAGTGCTCCGGCAGATCTGACATCTTCCACATTGCAGCCCAGGACAGGAGCCAAGGGAGAGGGAGAGGCATGCTCATTTCTGTCACTCACATATCCTGGACTTCCAGCCTGGACGAGCAGGAGCTCCCCTTACCATGGACCCCGTGTGGCAAGGAGTCCTCAACACCACACAGTCCCGCAGCAACGAGGCGCGGACACCCGGACACTGCACGGTCCCCGCAGTAACGAGGCACGGACACCCCAACACCACACAGTCCCCCAGTAACGAGGCGCGGACACCCCAACACCACACAGTCCCCCAGTAACGAGGCGCGGACACCCCAACACCACACAGCCCCCCAGTAACGAGGCGCGGACACCCCAACACCACACAGCCCCCCAGTAATGAGGCGCGGACACCCCAAAACCACACAGCCCCCCAGTAACGAGGCACGGACACCCCAACACCACACAGTCCCCCAGCAACGAGGCGCAGACACCCAACACCACACAGTCCCCCAGTAACGAGGCGCAGACACTCCAACACCAGTCCCCCAGTAACGAGGCGCAGACACCCCAACACCACACAGCCCCCCAGTAACGAGGCGCGGACACCCCAACACCACACAGTCCCCCAGCAATGAGGCGCGGACACCCCAACACCACACAGTCCCCCAGCAACGAGGCGCGGACACCCAACACCACACAGTCCCCCAGTAACGAGGCGCGGACACCCCAAAACCACACAGCCCCCCAGCAACGAGGCGCGGACACCCCAACACCACACAGTCCCCCAGTAACGAGGCGCGGACACCCGGACACTGCACAGTCCCCGCAGTAACGAGGCACGGACACCCCAACACCACACAGTCCCCCAGTAACGAGGCGCGGACACCCCAACACCACACAGCCCCCCAGTAACGAGGCGCGGACACCCCAACACCACACAGCCCCCCAGTAACGAGGCGCGGACACCCAACACCACACAGTCCCCCAGTAACGAGGCGCAGACACCCCAACACCACACAGTCCCCCAGTAACGAGGCGCGGACACCCCAACACCACACAGCCCCCCAGTAATGAGGCGCGGACACCCCAACACCACACAGTCCCCCAGCAACGAGGCGCGGACACCCCAACACCACACAGTCCCCGAGCAACGAGGCGCGGACACCCAACACCACACAGTCCACCAGCAACGAGGCACGGACACCCAACACCACACAGTCCCCCAGTAACGAGGCGCGGACACCCCAACACCACACAGTCCCCCAGTAACGAGGCGCCGACACCCCAACAACACACAGTCCCGCAGCAACGAGGCGCGGACACCCGAACTCCACACAGTCCCCCAGTAACGAGGCGCGGACACCCGAACACCACACAGTCCCCCAGCAACGAGGCGCGGACACCCCAACACCACACAGTCCCCCAGTAACGAGGCGCGGACACCCCAACACCACACAGTCCCCCAGTAACGAGGCGCCGACACCCAACACCACACAGTCCCCCAGTAACGAGGCGCAGACACCCCAACACCACACAGTCCCCCAGTAACGAGGTGCAGACACCCCAACACCACACAGTCCCCCAGTAACGAGGCGCGGACACCCCAACACCACACAGTCCCCCAGTAACGAGGCGCGGACACCCAACACCACACAGTCCCCCAGTAACGAGGCGCGGACACCCCAACACCACACAGTCCCCCAGTAACGAGGCGCGGACACCCAACACCACACAGTCCCCCAGTAACGAGGCGCCGACACCCCAACACCACACAGTCCCGCAGCAACGAGGCGCGGACACCCCAACACCACACAGTCCCGCAGCAACGAGGCGCGGACACCCCAACTCCACACAGTCCCCCAGTAACGAGGCGCGGACACCCAACACCACACAGTCCCCCAGTAACGAGGCGCGGACACCCAACACCACACAGTCCCCCAGTAACGAGGTGCAGACACCCCAACACCACACAGTCCCCCAGTAACGAGGCGCGGACACCCCAACACCACACAGTCCCCCAGAAACGAGGCGCGGACACCCCAACACCACACAGTCCCCCAGTAACGAGGCGCGGACACCCAACACCACAGTCCCGCAGGCCCCTGTGGGTCACGGTGCAGGTGGATCACAGCTGTAGCACCCCCAAGGTGGCCCAGGCACACGGCAGCTCACAGTGACACCCTAGCACCACGCACACTAGAAGATCCAGATGCTGTGATGAGGAGAGGGTTGGACAGGATGGGAAGTTCCAGATTCTCCCTCCACCCAGATTCCAAGAGGCCCAAAGGCTCAGGACAAGGATCCTGAACTGTGACCGTGAGCTGGACAGGCGGTGTCTGTGGTGCTCTCCAGCCGGGTTCTTCTAAAGCCTTTATGACCTGGTGCCTTGTGCCCAGGTCTGCACGTGTTCAAAGAGGAATACAGACCGCGCTGAAAGGGAATTGGAGGTATTGTATGCATCTCTTCTCACACTGCTAATAAAGACATACCCCAGACTGGGCAATTTATAAAGGAAAGAGGTTTAACTGACTCAGTTCCACGTGGCTGGGGAGGCCTCGCAGTCATGGCAGAAGGCGAATGAGGAGCAAAGTCATGTCTTACATGGTGGCAGGCAAGAGAGTGTGTGCAGGGGAACTCCCTTTTAAAAAACCATCAGATCTCATAAGACTTAGTCACCATCATGAAAACAGCACAGGAAAGACCCACCCCATGATTCAGTCACCTCCTACTGGGTCCCTCTCATGACACATGAGGATTATGGGAGCTGCCAGGCAAAACGAGATTTCGGTGGGGACACAAACCATATCGGGTATTAATGACATGGTCAATGTAAATGTCCCACAGATGACACCGCAGAGCTGCAGAGCTGTAGGTCAGGTAAGAGACAGGCCTGGGGCCTCAGCCACAGCAGGTTCTCTCAGCAAGAAATCAGCAGTTAAGAAAACAGGTGTACATTTGCCAATGTTTTGTTCACATTTTGTCCGTGTGAATTTTGGTTTACATTTCCTGACAGTGAGGAAGTTTGAGCACTGGAAAAAGATGACTAAGGAAGAATAAAGAATTCACAACTTTGGGGACTTGACAATTCTTATCTCCGTGTCTTCAGGCCAGGTGGCGGGCAGTGGAGCGCCCGGTCTTTCTGGAGATGACTGGAGGCCTTCGGACTGGTCATGTCCTTAGAGTGGGCAACTTTCCTTCCATGAAGCTTCCCCAAGACAATGCAGCCCAGGGTCAGGGACTGGGGAATTGGTAATCAGGGAAAGAGGAGAAATGACAACAGTACTGTATCATAGGGGATGGCTTACAATATTTATTAAAACCACAGGATGGATACTACCCAGCTACCAAAAATACTATTCCAGAATGTGTATTTAGCGATGAAAAGATGCTCACGAGGGCGAAAAGCACAGGATGGATACTACCCAGCTACCCAAAATACTATTCCAGAATGTGCATTTAGTGATGAAAAGATGCTCATGAGGGGGAAAAGCAATTTTTAAAGCACTTGACATTTTTATGTCTTTTAAAGATGTAACTGTGTTATGTGCAGAAGCAGCCAGAAGATGTGAAACAGGGACCGTCACTAGGAGATGAAGATTACAGGGTTTTCAATGACTTTTCTTTATATTTTTAAATTGTCTACATGAACCCTATATGACTTTTGTAATAAACACCCTTATTTTTAATTTAAGAAAAGCCACAGTTCTCAATGACATTACAATTCGGTACAGGAGATGGACATGAAATGAGTGGTAGCATCATCAGGGTGGAGAAGCCAGTGTGGAGGGGACACGTGTTGAAGGTCACTGTCGGCTGACGGGAGGGGCCAGGATCAGGAAAGGTCCTGGGGTGAGGTCCGGGTTTACTTTTGTCTGAGCTGGACCAGCAGAAGGTGCAGGCAGAGGCGATGGGGCAGAAGGAGGCCCGGCCACCCAGTTCCTGGGCACGGGGGAGCTCACGCTGCCACTCTCCTGGGAATGTGTGAAAAGCTCAGTTCGGGAAGGGAGGCTGAGGCTGGCTGGTGGCAGATGGAAGAGCAGCTCCTCTGCCATCAAAGAAGAGATTCACTTTGGCAGGTTTATGGGATTTTTTTTGTGAATTAAAAACATGTTTCCATAAAAAACAAAGTAAAGATTTTTTTCTTCAGCAGCCTGCAAATTAACTAACAAATGAGACCAGCTTGTATGTTTCTGTTTCTGATTTAAGAAGCCAATTTCGCAGGCTTTGACAGAAGAAATTTCAATACAGAAAGAATGTCAACCAGAGTCAATTTCAAAGCATGAATTCAAGTACCAAATCCCCATTCCAAAGCATATGTCTGGAGACTATCAAAAGAACAGAAGAGCAATACTAAAATGCCAGCCTGCCTCAGCAAACAAATCTCTCTCCGTTATGTTACAGCATTCGAACCCTGCAGCCCTCAGCCCAGGGTGGCCTAGTGCACGCTCTGAAACCAAAATGGCTTTATGGCCTTCAGTGAAGGAATGAATAAATTTCTTTCCACGACGGCTACCAGACTCTGCAAATCCAGTTTGCAGTCCCTGCTGCATTTAACGCCAATCAATTACCCTAATTACCTCCTTGTACCTAGTGATGGGTGATGTTCATAATTTCTAACAAAAAGGCATTTTCATAAGGGTGACATAAGCATACATTTTGACGTCTCCTGTTACTTGCTTTAGGGATAGTTCAACACTGCACAAACTGGAATATCTTTTCTTTCTTCCAAGCTGCAAAGCCCAGGTGAAAGGGGCCAGGATTATATCATCATATTCTCTTGGAGGCACTGGAACCGAGGAAAAACATTATCGTCCATTGCTGTGCGTTCCCACAGGGAAATGTCTTCTGCATTCCTTTAAGCCGTGTGTGTGTGTGTGTAAAGTACGTATATGTGTATGTGTGTGTGCAGGTATATGGGTGTGCATGCATGCCCATGTGCGTATGTGTGTTTATGTGTGTATGTGTAATGTGCGTATATGTGTATGTGTGCAGTTATATGGGTGTGCATGCATGCCTATGTGTGTATGTGTGGGTATGTGTAATGTGTGTATACGTGTATGTGTGCAGGTATACGGGTGTGCATGCATGCCTATGTGCATATGTGTGTTTATGTATGTGTAATGTGCACATATGTGTATGTGTGTGTGCAGGCATATGGGTGTGCATGCATGCCTATGTGTGTATGTGTGTGTATGTGTAATGTGCATATATGTGTATGTGTGCAGGTATATGGGTGTGCATGCATGCCTATGTGTGTATGTGTGTGCATGTTTGTATGTGTCTCCCTCCTTCCCAGAGACTGTGGCAAAGGCTCCTGCCCACGCTTCCCTCTTCTCCTGCCTCCTGACCCATAGGTGTGTCCCCCAGGCCTGCGGTGTGGCCTCACTCTCTTCTGGGGCTGTGAGTTGTGAACTGTCTTTCCTATGGCCATCTCCAAACCTGTGGGCCACACTACAGCTGAGTGTACAAAACCCCCATCTAAGCCGCCTGCGACTGGGCACACGTGACTGGGCCCTTTGGCCCCGTCCAGCTCCTATCGCCCTCATGCTTGGAATGGGAGCCACGGGCTCATGGACACCAGGAGGCCACCAACAGAGGCGCTGCATGCCTGGCATAACCCCACCCACATGGGAGCCCCCAGGATGCGTGGATGCCACACTCACCCCTCGAGGACCAAGGTGCCTGCTCCAACCTGCCAGGAGGTGCCAGCCAATGGCTGAGTCTCTCCAGGGCATGCCCTCAGCCATTCAGCGGGAGAAAGCTGCCTTCCCCACACCCCTCCTTGGGAAGGACACACAAGTTATGGCCTGAATTGTGTTCCTCCAAATTCCTATGTTGAACCCTAACCCTTGGGACCTCAGAATGTGATTATTTGGAGATGGGACGTTTACAGAGGTGAAGAAGGTAAAATGAGGTCACCAGGGTGGGCACTGATCCTGTCTGCCTGGTATCCTCCTAAGAAGGGGAGATGAGGTCACAGACAGACAGAGAGGGGGCAACCCTATGAGGACATGGGGAGAGGACGGCGTCTGCGTGCCCAGGAGAGGCTCAGCAGGAGCTGGCCTTGGGACTCCACGGTCTTGGGCACCAGCCACCAGGACCCTGCGGAATGAATGTGCCTTTACACGCCCCCCGGGTGTGTATGCCCGTCATGGCACCCGAGCTGACTCACGCACCACCCAGGCTGGCGGCATGAAGGCAGGACGGCCACTCCTTGCCTCGGTGCGGAGACCCCTGAGTTCACACAGCACCTGAGTTCTCTCAGAATCGGCCGAGACCTGTCCCCGCTGCTCACCCCTGCCCTCTGCCCCATCCTGTGTCCTCACCCCTCAGCCACCATCTCCTTGTTGAGAGGACACCCGTGGCCATCGGCACGTCCATCTCACCAGGGGCTCTTTCCGGGACCCTGAGGGAGGTCAGGCAGGCACAGTTATAGCCATTTATTTCCATGGAAAGCCCCTATTGTGAGCCCCCCGGCTGCACAGCTTGTGAGAAGGTTCCACGCGTCTGTCTTGTTCTAAAGCTCACGCTCTTTGGATGACACCAGCAGTTCCCAACCAGGTAATTCTGCCCCCAGGGGACATTTGGTGACATCTGGAGATATGTTTGGTTGTCACTAAATGGGGGTGCTTCCGGCAGGTAGTAGGTGGAGCCCAGAAATGCTGCTCAACATCCCCCAGTGCATAAGACGTACCCCACAAGCGTCTCCCAGCCCCCACCCCCGTGCTGAGCTTGAGAAACGCTGGGTGCATGGCTGTGCTCAACATCCCCCATTCCATAAGACCGACCCCACAAGCATCTCCCAGCCCCCATCCCGCTGTGCTGAGCTTGAGAAATGCTGGGTGCATGGCTGCTGCCTCCCGGGATGTACATCTCAGCTGAAGAGATCTTCGCGATGCTGCTCAAATCCACCCTGGTGTCCCTACAACAATTTAGCTTGGGTGGGAAGTCTTTCCTTTCCTGTTTGTTTGTTGTGGTTTTTCCTCTGAGCCACTGAAACCAAGTCAGAGTTAGGTTTAGAGTTCAGCTGCCCACTTTATTTTCTTAAGGACAAACTTGATTCCATTCCACTCCTTAACACCAAGACAGACAAGGGATAACTTAAATTGCAGTTCACCGGCCTGAGCTCCAACAGCTCCTAGTCCTGCTGTACTTTGGGTTGGGTCAGCCCTTCCAGGATCATTCACAGAGCAGTACTGCATGTGGACCACCAAGTCTGAGGCAGGAGACACAGACTCAGCGGGAACAGACAAGCCTGGGGCATCCACTGCCCTAGGAGGGAAAGAACAGAGCCGGACTCCGCCCAGCTGCACACCCACAGGAGCAGACCCCTTAGCTGCCCTGGGAGGAAGAGGTCAGAGCCAAACCCCGTCCACCTGCACTCCTGCAGGAGCAGACCCTCAGCTGTCCTGGGTGGGAGAGGACAGAGCAGGACTCCGCCCACCTGCACACCCACAGGAGCAGAGCCTCATCTGCCCTGGGAGGGAGAGGACAGAGCCGGACCCCATCTACCTGCACTCCTGCAGAAGCAGAGCCTCAGCTGCCAAGTTGAGGGCACTGTGCCCAGAACAAGGTGACCACTCGGTGGCCGTCATGGCATAAATGCAGATGGTTCCTCAGGGTCTTAGATCACAGAATCCAAGGACCCAGTCACAGGTCACAAGGTTTCTGCACCCAGTCACCATGAGGTCTCTGCATCCACGACCATCTTGAGTTACATGTAGGCCATGTCATTCTCCCCTGGTAAACCTGGATAAAACAGCGCATGCACCCACCCAGTGTTCCATGTTCACATGAGTTATGATTTCCAATGTGCTTTTCGGAACACTGTCTTGAATCTCACCACAAACGGAGGCGTGAAGGATTGAAGAGGCAGAAAGATTTACCAGACACAAGGCTAGCCAACAACCCAAAACCAGACACCCTTCAACATCCATCAGCATTTCAACAAACATTGCTGGAATTTCCGTCATGGGGATAAGAATGTGTTGGGTCCTAAGATGATGTCACTGAGATGTGACACAGCCCAGCGATCTCCCTGCCTGCCCGGCACCAAGCTGCTCCCAGCGATGACACACCGAGTCCCAGGACAACTGGGGGGTGATGGAGGAGTCCAGCCGGGGAGACAGTGAGAGGCTCGAAGGCACAGGCCCAGCTCCTGCACTCCTGCAGACGGTCCCTGATTACACGAACGGGCTCGGTGAGCACCAGCGAGATCCTGCCAAGCCCTGTGTGACGGTACTCAAGGTGGGAGAGGATTCTGTGGCAGTCGGGGCCGGGGGGAAGCGGTGGCCCAGAGGCAGGGCAGTTGTGGAGGAGCCCCTCACAACACAGGCTTTGCAGTCAGGAAATGGTGTGGCCTGGGCCACAGGACAGGGAACATAGAGTGTGGGGGGCAGGCACACGTGGCTCCTGGAAGCGGAGGTCACCGCTTTGTCTCAAGGAGGCGTTTTAGGACTCACACTGGATGGATGGGGCAGCTGGTGGCTGGGTGTCAGTGCAGGAGAGATCCAGACCAGAAACTCGAGGGGCTGCGGAAGGATTGTGCAGGGTTGTGCGTCTGTGTCCAGAGTGGCTTAAAAGGGGATGAGAAGCTCCTCCCGGACCTGCTATTCCACTACGGGATTGGAAGTGAGGTGTGGCCACACCCCAACTCTCCTATCCATTCACGGCCCCAGATCTATACCATGAGCCACTTAAAACAAAAGCCCTCCTTTCAAATTGCAAACGTGCATTAGAGTGGAGCACAGCCAGGCTGGCCAGTTCTTTCATTCTGCTGAGCACTGGTATCGCTAAGGATAGGAACCAACCACAGCAATCTCCTTTCTCCCTCTTTTGCCCCTAAAACTACAAATACAGAGAAGTTTTCTGAGAAGCTTGTTAGAACTATTGGTTTTCTGGAGTTGAAAGCACCCCATAAGCCACAACGCCAGCCTTCCTGAACTGGTGGGGATACCGTGAGGGTGGTGGGCGCGGGGGAGGGGGGGCTGGGGCGCGTGGGTCCTTCCTGCTTGCCAAGTTCTGGAACATGGGACACCTAGGTGCCCGGAGAGACCCTTATGCTCAAGCCAGCATCCTCTGGAACGCTGCAGGATACAGGTGCCCCTCGCTAATTGTTACTGAGTGTGTTGGACCCTCCTAGATACAGGGGCAAAGCGGGACAAAGACAGGACCCGGGCTCAGGAGGCAGATGGGCAGCAGAGGGACCCTCAATAAAGGTCAAGGTGGAGGCCAAGCTGAGCTGAGGGCGTGAAGGAAACCAGCAGGGAGGGGTCACCCAGCATGTGGAGGTGGGCCTGTGGCAGGAGGGCCAGAGGTGGCCCAGGCTGTCCCAGGCCACCACACCCAACTCTGATGAGACTCAGGTTCCACCCCAGATCGGGCAGAAAGAAGCAAATGGCCAGCATCGTGCATTCCATGACAAACCATTTTATTTATTTATTTATTTATTTAATTAATTTATTTATTTAGAGATGGAGTCTTGCTCTGTCACCCAGGCTGGAGTGCAGTGGCGTGATCTTGGCTCACTGCAACCTCCACCTCCCACGTTCAACCAATTCTCAGCCCTTGGCCTCCTGAGTAGCTGGGGCTACAGGCACTTGTCACCAGGCCTGGCTAGTTTTTGTATTTTTAGTAGAAACAGGGTTTTGCCATTTTGGCCAGGTTGGTCTTGAACTCCTGACCTCAGGTGATCCACCTGCGTTGGCCTCCCAAAGTGCTAGGATGACAGGTGTGAGCCACCGTGCCTGGCCCTGTGACAAGCCTTTTAAATGCTTATTGTAGAGACAAGAAACAGGGGAGCCTGGCTCCATTTTGTAAAAGATGGATGATTTTTCTAAACTACACCGCAAGGATGACCTGTTGACCTGGGAGATGGGACTTTTAAGATGTGTTTTTGTACCTAACTGGAAACCTCACAAATGCAGTAGCTGAGCCTGAAAGCCAGGGATCTGCACGGCCTACAAAACAGACACGTCGTTCAGAGAATGGCTGCAAGGAAAGCTCAGAACTCGGTGATGGGACCCGCAACACGTCCTTCAGCGAATGGCTGCAAGGAAAGGTCAGTACTCAGTGATGGGACCGGCTGCAGAGGGCGGGAGCAGGGAGAGGTTCTGAAACACTTTACACGCAGGGAGGGAATGCTCAGGGCTCCCCGTTTTCATCGCACCCCCTCCCCTCTGTGTTCTTTTCTGCCATTTGCTTCCAACACGTGAACATGTAAAAAGCCTGACAGGTAAAACCCAAAGTCTAACGGGGCTGCCCGTGAACACGCCAAGCACAACGGGGCTGCTGACCGTGAACACGCCGAATAAAACAGGGCTGCTGCCCGTGAACACGCCAAACAAAATGGGGCTGCTGCCCGTGAACATGCCGAATAAAACTGGGAGTCCGAACCTCTTCATGTCAAATAAAGAGTAGGGTCCGAACCTCTTCCCCAGGAGGGCCAGGGTTGCGGCCGGGCGACGCCAGGTGGGGAAGACACTAGAAGAGGAGAAAACCAGGAGCGCAGGACGCGGTGGGAGACTGGGAGGCTGCAGAGAGGAGGCCTGAGGACAGGAGGGAAGGAGGCGGGGACAGAGGCCGAGGGCTGGAGGGGCTGCCGGGTCTTCTCTGGGATGCAGCAGGGGCCCCGCTGTCCCTCCATCTGATGCCGCCAGGAGCCTTCCCGGGGAGGCGGCGTCTCTCCCTCCCTGCACGTCCCTGGGAGTTTCGGTGGACTGTGGCATAGAGAGCCTTTGGCATCCTGAGCTAAGCCACGGCGAATCCGTTCTGCATTCCTACAATGCTCATGAAAAGTTTGACCTTAGATGCTTAGTCTGCTGATGCAGAAAAGATGAAAACAAGAGCTTTGTGAAAGAATAACGTGAGGCCTGAATTGCCTTTCAATTCCACTTATTCTCCGTTTTGACCTACTTAAAAACAAGAAAAAAATCTTCCTCTAATGTGAACCACATACTCTGTACAAACCAAGGGTGAAAATGAAAAGTGATCCTGTCGTTCAGCTGCAAGTGCTCCTAGTGAAAAAAGGAAGAAAATTTATAAACATTTATTTCTCTCTTCTTATTCTTTTAAATCTTATCCGTACACTAGGACCCACAGACAAATTCCTTTAGTTTCCCTGTTTCCTGGCTGCGAAATAAAATCTGGGGTTGTGAGGACCCAGAAACCTGTAGTTTTCCACCAGAAAGTTTAATGCAATTGACAGGAAGGGACAGCCCTGCACAGGCATCTTTGAAAATGCCAGACGTCAATCCAGCTGAGTCCTAGGACAGAAACAGCCCGAGGAGGTTGCACACAGCTCCTGATATTCAGCTTCATAGATCCTTCCATGAGGGGTCCAGCAGCAACCACTGGGGGACAGTGAGGAGGGGAGAGAAGTCACCGAGCTGCATGCCCCGAAGAGGTGGTTTCACTGGGAGGCGGA
Source organism: Homo sapiens (assembly GCF_000001405.40). Lineage (NCBI taxonomy): Eukaryota > Metazoa > Chordata > Mammalia > Primates > Hominidae > Homo > Homo sapiens. The sequence goes on along the minus strand of NT_187565.1, from coordinate 257,864 downwards.
TGTGGGGATGGGGGAAGCTTGCTACTGCAAGAAAACGCCCTTGTGAACGAGCGCCATGAAAGCCGTGGCTGCTCCCTGCAGACGTCCTTCTATCCTCCGATCCTCCGGGCAGTGCTTCCCAATGTCGGCACGATAACGCTCTGTGTTGTTTCCGAGGATGTGTCATCTGAGTGGACGTGAGAGGGAGGCCAGTGGCGTCAGGGCAGGGAAGTCCAGGAGTGGGTGGCTGGCTGCAGAACAACAGGACCAGAGTGTCTGGAATGACCCCATGGCACGGAACTCAGACTGACAGACACAATCAGACCAACCAGCTGGTTCCAAACAAAAAAAATCTAGGGGGAGGAAGAGAGGAAAGAGAGGAGAAACCTCGGGCTGAACGAGATGAAGAGGCTCATCAGCAGCTGCCAGGCGGGCCCCTTCTCTGGATCCTGATTCAAATAAAAGCCAACAAGAGACAGTGAGCCCTCAGGGGAATGTGACCACTGACCAGGATGATATAATGCAGGTGGTTATGTTTCAAAAGAAAGCGTACTCATCATTCCGTGTGGATCTCTGGGAGATCAACACAGGCATATTTACAGTTGTATCTGTCTGTCGTGTGGGATTTGTTGCAGTGTAGCCTGGGTGGGAAGGCGTGAGTGCAGATGGAATGAGGTCACTTTCGGAGGGATGGTTTTTGAAAGGGGCTGACGGTGTGTGGGTTCATTCTGTCTCACTTCACCTTTGTGGACGACTGGTATTCCCTGCACCTAGACCGTGGAATAGCTGTTGGAGGCAGAGAGAAGCGTGTTCCTGGGAGGAAGTGGGTGGAAGAAGCTCCTTGGAGAAGGCAGGTCCAAGGGGCACAGGACCTGTGGAGAAGGCGCAGCTGGAGGGGCTTGGGGAGAGTGGCAGGCATTGGAGGCAGGTGACCCTGGGGCAAAACCTGGAGGCTCTGACAGTGTCCTGAAGTGCTCATTCAGGGAACACTGACTATCCACACCAGGCACAGACAAAAACAAGAGAGCTATGTGTCTGTGACAATGAGGAGACAGATCAGAGTGAACCCCGATTCTTTCTACCAGGCTTCTCTAAACAAGCAGACACAACTTTTACATTTGGATATGATTAGGGTTTGCCGACGGCAAACAAAATTTATGCCTCTTCCATTGCTATAAAATAATATTTTATGCAACTACCAATTTGTCTCTGAATAAATCTGCCTGCAAAGGCAATTTGGTTAGCATTTCCTTTCAAAACAGAGCTGTTGAGATGTGGACGCTGGACCTGATGGTGACGGTGCCACTGGAAGGATTTGCCACCACGACTCCCAGAAAGAATCACGGCTGCTAGTCCCCCTGTCCCATTAGTTGACTGCCTGTTGGCTCAGCCAGCAATGGCCCATTACTCCATGAAGATGTCTCTAAGCTGATGCGAGGCCCACAGCCGCTGCTCTAGGCAAGCAAGAGTGATTTGTGAGTTGGGACACACATGTTATGTTTTTTTTAACAGCGCTATCGACTGATGGAAGTCACTGAGTGGCATCCTCAGAAGTAGCGTGTGCCTCCCAGAGAGCTTCTCCAGTAAACTCAGGCATGGCACAATTCAGAGACAGAGAGTGAAATCACATAAAACAGGGAATTCTGCAATATGCCAGCTCTAGGGATCTACCTTCTTTGTTTTTGCCTTTGGTAAATTCATTTAATCCACACCCCAGAGACACAGAGGCCTTTTCCATAATCAGGCTTTTTGTAGTGGGGGGTGCTTAGAGAGGCTGTGGCCAGGTGCAGGGAGTGAACTCACGAATGTCGCAGGCCCACTTCCATTAGGCCGGTCCATCAGCTCTCACATGGAAAACACCCACATGGGCAAGTCTGTGTTTGCTGTGGTTGTTAAACCCTCCAGCCTTAGAGGCCTTAAAGAAATGGCCCACTGTGTTTAGAGGGATGGTTCCAAGGAGGAGTCGGGATCTTCAGAGGCCCTCCCAGAGCAGGCCAGACTCACGCATGAGAGCTGCCCGTAGATAACGTCCCGCCATCCCTGCAGCCCCGCGCACAAAGCCATAGCGTGCCGTCAATCCTCGAGTCTCCCGGCAAATGATGGATAAAGAAGATGCGGTACATACACAGGGGACACTACTCAGTCTTTGAAAGAAGGAGATCTGCCATTCTCCACAACACAGGTGAGCTGGAAGAAACTGCAAAGCAGGATGAGCCCGGCGCACACAGATAGAGGCCACATGGTCCCTCTCACGGGTGGCATCTGAAACAGCTGAACTCATAGGAGCAGAGAGTGGAACCGTGGTTACCAGAGGGACTGGGGATGGGGAAGAATTGGGAGATGTTGGTCAAAGGACAACATTTCAGTGAGGAGGGGTCAGCTCAAGAGACCTGTTGGCCAGCACGGTAACTGCAGTTAACAACCACGTATTGAATAGGTGGAAATCATCCAGAGTGGATTTTAAGTGCTCCCACCAAAAAAATTACGTATGTAAGGTAATGCGTGTGTTAACAGCTCAGTGGAGCTGTCCCAGAACATATCCGTAGCTCAGAACATCCTGTTGCACAACCTAAATGTGTATGCAGTTGTTATCTGTCAATTAAAAAAGGAATAACGACAATACCACCTGCTGTGCCGAGACGGCCTCCACAGGGCCGTGAGCCTGCTTACCTGGAGGTAGTGGCACGGCCTCAGGGCGGGCTTGGCGTCCTGGTGCAGCAGCGGCTTGTCCAGGTTCAGCGAGCTCTTGCGGTAGGCCTCCTTGGCCTGGCTGACCGTCAGCGTAGACCAGGAGCTGCGCTTCAGGTACTTGGCGTCGGGCGTCAGCGCCAACCCCTCACAGGCCGAGCACTTGACGTCGTTGTTGCTCTTGGAGGTCTTGAGGGACAGGTCCCCGAAGGGGCTCTGCAGCGCGTCGGGGTAGCAGTGGGCCACGGGGCCCAGGTGGTGCCGGTTGAGCACGCTGGGCGTCCGATAGGTGCTGTCGCTGTCCAGGTTGTCGTCCGAGCTCCACCAGCTGCTCATGCCGGGCCGGGGCTTGCCCTCCGGCTTGCGCTCCTTGCTCTTGCTCCTCTTGCTGTGCTTGGCGTGGTGGGCGTGGTGGTGGTCGTCCGCCCGGCCGTCCGCCTTGGTGCCGTTGGCGTTGCTTTTGGAGGAGCCCTCCAGCGAGTGCGACTTGGTGAAGAGCTTCTGCACGGAGTGTACCAGGTGGCGGATCCGCCCGGGGCTCTCGCTGCGCTGCTCGGCGGCCGCGGACGTCCTCTGGTACTGCAGCGTGTGGAAGCCGTCCCGGTGCAGCGGCAGCTGCTTCTCGAACTGGTCCAGCAGGTTGGCCGGGATGCGGTTGATCTTGGCGCCCGCGTGGGCCACAGCGCAGTCGTCGCGCGTGTCGTAGTGCGAGCTGTAGTGCATCCGCGGGAAGGTGCTGCTGGACACGTGGTCGCCCAGCACCACCGGCATCATCACGCACTCCGAGTGCACCGAGCTGCGCGGCGAGCAGCGGTGGCGCCCCCCGGGGCAGCTGTCGGCGGGGCTCAGCAGGTAGGGCGGCCGCGCGTCGGGCCCGTGGTGCAGGTGCTCGCAGTCCTCCGGGGGCGCCAGACCACACGTGTGCCCGGAACACAGCGGCGGCTGGGTCCGACTTCCGGAAAGGCCCTTCATGCTCCTGGGCGCGGGCGAGTAGCGCTCCTCATTGAAGTGCTGCGTGGGCGACCATGAGTACTGCGGGTCTGTGGGGAAACAGAAACGGCATTGAACACCCGGAAGCGCGGCGGAAACCCTCAGGTGCGGGGAATATGTGACCCCCACCGTGGACTTCATTAATCAGTGTCCATGTCTGGCCTGGGCACTCGAGAGGGCAGATTTGTGGGTTTTTTTTTTTTTTTTTTTTTTTTTTCTGAGACAGTCTCGCTCTGTCGCCCAGGCTGGAGTGCAATGGCGCGATCACGGCTCACTGCAAGCTCCGCCTCCCGGGTTCAAGCGATTCTCCTGCCTCAGCCTCCCGAGTAGCTGGGACTACAGGCGCCTGCCACCACGCCCGGCTAATTTTGTATTTTTAGTAGAGACGAGGTTTCGCCATGTTGGTCAGGCTAGTTTCAAACTCCTGACCTCAGGTGATCCACTGGCCTCAGCCTCCCAAAGTCCTGGGATTACAGATATGAGCCAGGACACCCGGCCAGGCAGTTGTTTTTATATCGCAAAGTGTGAGGAGTGGAGAGGAAACACTGATGTTCCCAAATGGTTAATGACCAAGATTTAGCATCTAGTAGATTGAACAGGTCTCTTGACAGCCGGATTTTGTGGTATTAAAGGAAATTAACAATTTGGGGGAAAAGCATAGTTGTATTTCACATAGATTTCAGTTTTGTCGTACAGCTTAAGAAGTTTTAAAAATAGCATCTGGTACTTGATGGGTGATATTGTCTAGTAAGCTCATGTATCACATACACAGGTATTAATCGTGAAATCGTTTGTTCAGTCCACACCCTTACAGGCCAGTGAGGATGGGAGGAGCTTTCTCGAGGTCCCATCTGTGTGGGGGCAGCTGTGCCTCCTTCCCCAGAGGAATCCCGCTTGACTCCTCCCTGTGTCCTTCTGCGGCCTGTGATGGGCTTTCCCTGAATGCCTGGAGGAGCGAGGCTGTGGCTACAACAAAGCACCACCTGTCTTATGGCCACTGAGCCACCAAGGGGCAGGTCGCTTGCTCTCTCCTCTCTCCCTGGGAAGGCGGCTGGGCGCTGGGGTGACCTGCAGAGAAGGAGGATCTGCCAGCTCCACGGCCTGTTGCTCCCCTGGTCTCTGCACTCACACCTTCCTCCTTCTGGCAGGCCCCCCTCAACCCCACATCTGCCTCCTCCATCCCAGGCCCCTCCTGCCCCAGACCCTCCTCCTTGTCACCAGGACCATCACGATGGCCTCCTCCTCTCTCTCCCTCTCCCCCTGCCTCCACCCAGACACAGCTGTGGGGCTGACCCCCTCAAATGCACCCCAGCCCATCCACCAACTTTTAGGGGAGCCCTGTTCTTCTCAGCCTGTCACCCAGGGCCACATCTAGGACAGCAAGCTCCCTGCGGGCACAGCTGCCTTCCTTGTGACAGCCACGGGCCATCCCGCAGCAGTGCCAGGCCCAGACCAGACGTCCAAGCTCTGTGATGACCAGAGGAGCTGCCGAGCCTCCCTCTGCCCCACGGTCCGCACGTCCCTGTGAGTCTGCTGAGCCTTAAGCACACCCGGCTGCCGTCATTTGTAGATGTCGCTGCCCGGGTCCTGCCGCCTCTCCTCCCAGGCCTGGAATGCATCCCTGCATTCACTCCAAGACCCGGCTCCACACCACTCGGCCTTGCTGTGTGCCGTCCTCGAGGCCAAAGACCCAGACAGGAGCAAGAAGTGGCCACCTCGACGGCTGAGCGTGGCCGTCTCCTCAGGAAGGGAACTATCCCCCCACACGTTTGTCCAATACCTGCCTCTCCTGGACCACCTCCATGCCTCGGATCCCGGAACGAATTCCTGCCTGCCAGCTCTCCCGTCACCATAAGCGTCTCTCCCACTTGCTCCTCTCTCGCCACCACCCTAAGCAGCCTGAGATGCACCCCTGCTTGCAGTCTTGGGGTGAGTCCATCATGCCCTGCGCTTGGAGAGCCACCCACTCTGACTCCCTGAGCAACATGGATGCCAGGGAAAGCAAGCAGAGTGATGGGGAGTGAGAGTTTTCCCATCGTGTCCAACCCCAACCCTCCAGGTAACCAAGGCAAAAACAAACAAACAACAACAACAAAATCCCCTGCTGATAATGTTTACCAAGTGACTAGTCCTAGGTATGGCCTCAAAACGTCGCAGATTTCAGGATCCAGGACGGCCAGCCGTCTGGGCCAGCATGGCCATGGAAACATGGGATAAGGAAGGGATACGATTTCATGAGTCCCTGGGAAGTCAGGGACCGGCTTCTCACACCCAGGTGTGAATGCAGAAGGGAACGTAAAGATTTCCTGAGGGATCCCGAGAGACTGACAGCAAGGTGTGGGGCTGTTTCTCCCACTGAGGCCAGCAAAGGGATTGCTCCTGCATATTCTCACAGTAAACAGTCCCCAGTTGAAGGATAAAGAGATCCTTTAACTTCAAGGTGAGCCTCACTGTGTTATATTTCAGGTGCCTACGCTGTCTCACAGGAGCACCTACACTGTAATGGCCGGCGGCGTCTTCCTTTCTCAAACAGTCAAATTATAATGAGAGCACTTTAATATATTGGGGGAATATTTAGATATTATTTTAATATAATTAAAAGCAAATTTTCAAATGAAATTCAATATTCAACTGCTAAATAGCAAAACTATGTGCTGTAATCCAGACTTTACAGCTGCATAAAGTTGTCATCCTATTATCTTTTGCTTTGTTTTTCCATTAACGTGTAATTTAATACAATTTTAATCTTCCTTCATATTAAAAAGAGAGTCCATTACTGCCCCACTCACGTATCCTACTTCTGCCTAATGTTTAGCCTAGAAGCTATGTTATGAATGTGGCTTCATAAAAGAATGGCATAAAAGATAAAATTTAACTGAAATGAATTAAATTTGATTATGCCACATGTTGATACCACATTCTCATTTCCACTATACAGGACTGGATTTCCTGATGGATGCATGGAAACATGTACTTTAAAATATTATCACAATAATGACAATGGCAGCGTGCTGTAAACAATGGCAACACTAGAACATGTAACGAGCACTAAGCTAGGTCTCCGGGTTTTTTAGGTGTGCACAATGTGTAATAAATACTTAGGGGCTGGTAATTTCTTTTTGTGAAAATGAGGTAGCAAACACAAAATGCGGAAAGCATCTTAGTTTCCTAATTTCCACTGCTTCATGACACCATTTTTGTCATTGAGAGAAAACAGCAATTATAGTCATTTATTCATGAACGTACAACCATCTCCCCAAATTCAGAATAGAATGTAAATGCACGTCTTACTGTTGCACTTATGGGGCGGCCGGCCTACCCAATCTAAATAGCATATTGTAAGTATAACAATAAAAATATGAAGAATGCAGCAAATGTTTACAGGGTGCACGCCGTGCTTGTGGGACGAAAAGTTCAGGACCAGATGGTGTCACAGGTGAATTCTATCAATATTTAAAAAAGAATTAACACCGATCCCTCTCAAAGTCTCCCAGGACTAGAATAGGCAGGAATGCTTCCAAGCCCATTCTATGGTAATTCTATCAGGGCCAGAATTACCCTGCTAGCAAAGCCAGATAAAGACAAGAAAAGAAAACTATAGATTAATATCCCTTATAAATAGAGATGCAAAAAGCCTCAAAAATAGTCCAGGTATGGTGGCTCATGCCTGTAATCTCAGCACTTTGGGCGGCTGAGATGGGTGAATCACAAGGTCAAGAGATCGAGACCATCCTGGCCAACATGGTGAAACCCCATCTCTACTAAAAATACAAACATAAGCTGGGCATGGTGGCGCATGCCTGTAATCGCAGCTACTCAGGAGGCTGATGCAGGAGAATCGCTTGAACCCGGGAGGCAGAAGTTGCAATGAGCCAAGATTACACCACTGCACTCCAGCCTGGCGACAAAAGTGAGACCTCTGTCTCAAAAAAAAAAAAAATCCTCAAAAATACTAGCAAATCAAATATAGCAGCATATGAGGAGAATTATATACAGTGACTATGTAGAATTTATCCTAGCAATGCAAGGGTGGTTCAACATAGGAAAATCAATCAATGTAATAAATCACTTTAATAGAACAAAGGGGAAAAGGCCACATACTCAACACAATTGATACAGAAAAGGCATGTGACAAAGTACAACACTATTTCATGATAAAAACACTCAGAGAACTAGGACTGGAGGGAACTTCCCCAACATGATAATGGGCATTTATGGGAAACCCACAGCTAACATCATACTCAATGCTGAAGGGCTGAAAGCTCTCCCTGTGAGAAGAGAACAAGACAAGGATGCCCACTTTCACTGCTGCTCAGCAAAGGAGCAGGTTACAGGAGCAAAATAAAAAATCAATTGTATTTCTATACATTAGCAATGAGAAACCCAAAAAGGAAATTAGAAAAGCAATTCCACTTAAAATAACATCTAAAAGAATAAAGTCCCTGGGACCGCCTAACCAAGGAGGTAAAAGAGGGCCAGACGCAGTCACTCACACCTGTAATCCCAGCACTTTGGGATGCTGAGATGGGGGAATCACTTCAGCCCAGGAGTTTGAGACCAGCCTGGACAACATGGCAAACCCTGTCTTTAAAAAAAAATACAAAAATTAGCCAGGCATAGTAGTAGGCACATGTAGTCCCAGTTACTTGGGAGGCTAATGTGGGAGGATTGCTTGAGTCTGGGAGTTCAAGGCTGCAGTGAGCCAAGCTTGCATCACTGCACTCCAGCCTAAGTGTCAGAGTGAGACTTTGTCTCTTAAAAAAAAAAAGAAAAAAAGGACGTGAAAGATTCGTACACTGAAAACTAGAAAACATCGCTACTGAAAGAAATTAAGCAAGACTTACGTAAATGAAAAGACATCCTATGTTCATAGATTGGCAGACTTAATGGTTAAGATGAGGTAGGTCCTACCCCAAGTGACCTAGAGATTCCCTGAAATTCCTGTCAAAACCTCACATGGCTTTTTTGCAGAAGTGCAAAAGCCAATCCTCAAATTCATATAGAAATGCAATGGGTCCTGAGAAGCAAAAACAATCTTGAAAGAGAAGAACCAGGTTGGAAGACTCACACTTATGGATCCCAAGAGTCACAAAGTGATAGTAATCAAAAGGGTGGGGCCCCACACAAGGATGCACACATGGACCCATGGAACTGAACTGGAGTCCAGACATGCACCTGCACATGTGATACTTTTGATAAGGGAGACAAGGTCACCCAGAGGGGAAAGAATAGTCTCTCCTACAAATAATGCTAGGATAACCCAATTTCTACACACCAAACAATGAATTTAACCCCCATCTTACAAAATCTGCAAAAATGAACTCAAAGTGGCTTAAAGACAGAAAAGGGCTCAAACTATAAAGCTATTTGTAGAAAACATAGATGCATTTCTTTGTGACTGTGAACCAGGCAATGGTTTCTTAGACATGTCACCAAAGCACAGGAAAAAATATAGATAAAATAAACTACCTAAAATTAAAAAGTTTTATGCTTTAAAAGATGCCATCAAAAAAATGCAAAGGCCATCCACAGAATGGGAAACATTTTTGTAAATCACGTATTTGTGAAGGAACTTGAATCCAGAATATATAAATCTGACAACTCCATTATAATAAGACAAATAATCCAAATAATAATGGGCATAGGAGCTGAATATTTCTCCAAAGAAGATGTCCTAACGGCGAAAGAGCACACAGAAAGGCGTTCAGAATCACTCACCAGTAGGGAAATGAAATCAAAACCACAGTGCGGTACCACTCAAGCCCCCTGGAGTGGACAGAGGGAAAAGGACACAGTTCCAAAGCTTGATGAAGATGCAGAGAAACTGGAACCTCGCACGCTGCTGGGGAAGGGAGAACAGGCTGGAGGGTCCTAAAAAGGCTGAACACAGAGTCACCAAAAGCCCCAGTGAGTCTACTCCGAGGTGCACATCCAAGAGAAATGAAAACACATCCAGGCAAAAGCCTGTGTAAGAATGCTTACAGCGACATCATTCATAGTTGCCAAAAAGTGGAGACGACCTCAATGCTGCCCGACGGATGAATGGACAAACATGGGGGCTGTACCGCACAATGGAAATGTTTTCAGCAATTAAAACCAATTAAGCCCAGAAACGTGCTGCACCAGGGAAGGGCCTTCAAAACCTTATGCCATGGGAAAGAAGCCAGTCACAAAAGACCACCAATGTACAATTTCATTCATATGAAGTGTGCAGAACAGGCAGATCTCAAAATGGAAAACAGATTGTTGATTCCCAGCATCAGGGTAGGTGAGAGGGCAGGCGGCTGCTAAGGCACAGGGTTGCTTTTTGGGGTGAAGATGTTTTAAATTGATTAGAGCGATGGTTGCACATACCTGTAAATCTACTGAATGCTACCGAATTGTACATCCTAAAGCGTGACTTTTATGGTGTGTGACTTATATCCCCATAAAGCTCGAATAAAATAAATACACGCATGTGATGAAGGAAGACATACACAGAAACTCAAAATTGAATATAGACACACTTCACTTAAAATTTTTCTTCACTTGCTTTAGAACTCAGGAAAAGATCTGTTTCATAACATTTAGGAAAGCAGTTATGTTTATTTTTTGCTTCTAAATCTCCTCCTTCTCCACAGAACAAAGAATGTGGCTGAAGCTGTTTCCTGTGTTGCTCTGATCACTATATGGCTCAGAGAAACATCTGAGGCTCTTAAATCAATAATCAAAGGTCCTGTGACAGTCATATACATCTCTTTTCTTTGCCTTCATTCTCACTTAACGTTCCGTGACCATGATTGTGGAGTCAGTAGACATTCCATCATTCCATTGTACACGTTTCTGTTCTCGCTTCAGTTCCTCATGAAAAGAAGCAAGGTATAAATTAGTAAATCTGTTAACTGACCCGATAATGTGAGTTTGAGTTACACACAAATGGCTGATGGTTACTTAATCCACCATCCAGATAACTGCTGAGGAAAGCTTAAGGGAAATCCTTAGATCTCGTCTGGGTGAGCTGGCAGAGGTTCTAGAACCCAGTGGGCTCTGCTGGTTCCCAGTCGTGGGATCCAAGATCTGGTCCTGGGACAGCTCACTGAGATCTTGCATTTCCTTATCTGTTTGAGGTTTGCCTTTATTTTTCCATAGTTCAAAGGGCTTTAAACCGAGGCTATACCTCAGCATCACCCAGGAAGTGTGTAAAGGACAAATTTCTGGACATCATCCCAGGCACAGTAAGACCATACCTCTGGGGTGCAGCTCAGGATATTTACTGATATCAGTAAATATCAGCAGCTACCAGGTTTATGCTCTGCCTTGTCTTACATTAGTTTTTATGTTTGATATTGTGTCTCCAACGGCCATTTTAATCTGAGTCATGCTGTATACTTAGCAGAATGTCTTAAACTACCAACAGAGGTCTCAATGAATGTTTGATAATGGAATGAATAAATAAATGTATTAAACAAATAAATGGATTAAACACAAAGAGGAAGTGTGCATTAGGGGCTCAGTGGAGGTAAGAATTTGGGTGAAGCTCTCCCCTAGGTTAGTTGGCAAAGTTTACATCCTCCGCAAATTTCCAAGGCTGGAATTGCTCCGAATAACACATGGTTAATATTCTCAAGTACTCTGATGCTCTTGAGAGGAAGGGCTCCGTAGAAAATCCTGGGCTCTGTAGAAAATCCTGTGCTGGTTACCAAACTGTGGATCCCTGGGCCGAATTCTGTGGAAACGATTCTGCTGCTGTGCTCACAGGAGCCGCTTTGTACTTTCTTATTTAAATGTTTTGTAAGAAAAATTCTACTGTTTCTAAAATCTTAGCCCCAAATAGATGAGACCTGGATGTTTGTGTGGTTTCAAACCATTTTCAAAGGTGGAACTGTATTATCCAGAAATGGTTGTATGGTTGCCATATTTCATATTTCCAGAAGGTACAGGCAGCTTCTGAGAGGAAGCACTGCTGGTCACGGCCGCCCACGCTGGGCTCTGTCCGCAGTGATGCCCCCTCCGTGGGGTAAGACACCAGCATGCGTCCAGCTCCCGGCAGCTCCCTGGAGTGGTCTGCAAGGCAGCAGAGCTGTGCAGCCACACCCGACTCCAGCGCCCAGCCCGGCAGGAAGTTTGCTACATTATGGTCACTAGGTGGGTGTTTTTTTTTCTTTTCTCATGAGGTCATAGAATTACAGAATTGGAGAGGTTTTAGATAGATCTTCTGTGGTATGAGTTTTAAAAGTGTTTTCCTGCCTTCCTTTCCCTCTCTTTCATTAATGACTCAACCCAGCCATTCAAACAAAATTTACAAAGCACCTGCTGCAAACAAGGTACCGTGGTAGACAGTGAGTGAAACAGCCCCTGCTCCAAAGCCTTCAGTTGGGTGGTGGTACCGGCAATAAACAGATAAACAGGCAAACGTCAGACAGTGACAAACACTCTAAAAAACGCGGGGCAAGGGGCTCATCACCCCATGTTTCGGGCCTTTACCCGCTGGGACAAGTGTGGTGGGGAGGGCTTGACCAGGGCAGAGACCTAAGGAAGTAGGACGTATCTCTGAGGGTCCTGGGTGGAGGGTTCCAGGCACGGTGCGTCCACAGCTCTGAGTTGGTGCCTGTGGCGGCACTGCCAGGGAGGAGGACCACAGGGAGAGCAGGCAAGAGGAGGCCCTGTCTGGGTCCTGAAGGGTGGGGCTGGCAATAATAACAGGACTTTGCTGGGCTTCTGAGTCTGGAGGCCATAGGAGCAGAGAAGAGATGGGAAGCCACTGATGCTTGAGGGGGTCTCCCTGGCTGTTGAGGATGGACTGAGGGGCTTGGGGGGCACAGGAAGAAGGCAGGGAAGGGAGGCCCTACAAGGACACGGGCCGTGGTGCTCATGGCACAGCTGTGTCCCACCTGCTGGCTCTGAGGTGTGTCACACATCCACACAGAAGGTCTTCTATATCAAGCACAGCTAGACATGCAAAGCGATGCAATGTGGGCAGGTCTCGCTGTCGGCATCCTCCAAACAGGAAAGTGGAGTCTGGAGAGGGAGAAGGTGGCCCCTTCACAGCTCCTGGTGAGGGCGGGCATCCTTCAAACAGGAAAGTGGGGCCTGGAGAGGGAGAAGGTGGCCCCATCACAGCTCCCGGTGAGGGTGCGGGACCCTGGCAAGGCTCAGTGCACCCCAGTCCACTCTGCGTCGCGCTTCTGGCTCCAGGCACAAGTTAAATTCTCACTCAACTCGTGGGGATGGGCTTGTTATCTCCCAGTGCACCGAGATTAGAGCCGTCCATCATAGGAACAGTCGCCAGTGTTGTAATGGTGTGGCTAACCACGTGGTAACCTGTTTTCCTCTTCGGAGTCCTCACCCAGATGGACTTGACAACTTGTCTGTGGATTGCATCTCAATGTGGAAGGCATCCGGCCAACAGCAGCGATTAAGTCCCAGAGAATATGTGCTGCCTGAGCTCTCTCAGAGTCTGTTGGTGGACATGCTGTTAGTTATGAAAACAAACGAAAAAAGATGAGTGACAGGCCAGGTGCCGTGGCTCATGCCTGGAATCCCAGCACTTTAGGAGGCTGAGGCAGGTGGATCACTTGAGGTTGAGAGTTCAAGATCAGCCTGGCCAACACGGTGAAACCCCATCTCTACTAAAAATACAAAAATTAGTCAGGCGTGGTGGTGTGCACCTGTAATCCCAGCTACTCAGGAGGCCGAGCCATGAGAACCACTGAAGCCTGGGAGGTGGAGGTTGCAGTGAGTGGAGATCGCACCATTGCATTCCAGCCTAGGCAAAAGCAAGACTCTGTCTCAAAAAAAAAAAAAAAAAAAAGATGAGTGACAGCTGTCATGACACGAGGGGCTGTGCCTCAGGGTGGGGATCTGAGGGTGCTGTGCTGATGATTCACACACATGTCCACCCGGGGCGTGACTCTCTGGAGTTCTGAGTGGCTGTGGCCACGCTGCGGGGAGGGCTGCACCCTGGGGCTTTGCCTCTGATAAGAGAGGTTGGAATGACAATGGTACAATCCAATTCCTAGAAAAGAGGGCCAGGGCATTCTAGACACTCGCAACAGAAAGCAAGCGGTGAGCATGGGAGCGGGGGAGGAGGGACGGAGACATAAGCCCCTCCCTATCTGTTCTGTACCTGCACAGAATGCGCCCTGCACGGAGCAGCTTTCATCTTTTCACAAAATGGTTATCTTATCATGCAGTCTGAGCCCTGAGCCTGAAAGAAATCAGCCCGGGGATCTAAGAGGAAGTTAATATGTTCTTCATTTCCTCTCCATTCAATTCTGCTTAGGTGCTCAGGGAATTCTGTGTTTGTGGAGAGAACATGTTTTAAAATGTGCCCAGCCTTTTGGGGGCATAATGAAATTGGGGGAACGGACAGCCTGGAGCTCAAGGGAGTACTGCAGGTGAGAAATAACTTTTGAACACACTATAGAGATTTTAATTAGTTAAGTGTATTTGGGTGGATGCAGATAGTGATAAAAAGAAGAGAGAATTGAGAATGAATGGGAGAGAAAACAGGAAGGAAAAGGAAGAAAAGGCAGGGAATGCAGGGAGGACTGAGGCCATGCTGCATGGGACATGAGTGCCTCGGCAGCCCCAGCAGCATCAGCAGCCCCGAGCCCTGCAGGTGCCCCAGGCCAGCTTCTCATCCTCAAATGCAGGCACTTTGCATGAGGCTACAGCTGCCCTTACCATGGACAGCAGCTCTCTGTTCCCCCCGCAGTATCTTCCTCTGATTCACCTCCTTACTTATGGCCACTCCATCCATCTTTAAGACCCATTGTAAGAGCTTTCTTCTCCTATGAGCATCTTCTTAAACTCTCCCACCTAAATTTAGCTCTCTTTTCTCTGAATATTAGAATTTTATCTGCACTTTTCCTATGACATTTACTCCATCCATCCATTTATCCATTTGTCCTTCCTTCCTTCCTTCCTTCCTTCCTTCCTTCCTTCCTTCCTTCCTTCCTTCCTTCCATCCTTTCATCCATCCATCCATCCTTCCATCTATCCTTCCATCCTTGCATCCATGAAGCCACAGGCATCACGAGTTCCAGGCTCCACAGTAGATGTTGGGGATAGAGAGATGAGCAGGATGGTCCCTGTCCTACGGAAGCAAGATCTGGTGTTCAAAGTCTAATAGCAGAAAAGGGTGAGTAAGCCAGTCCTTGGAATGGGGTTTTTCCTGCAGACAGAGAGAGGTACACGGGGTGCAGCTGAGAGACTGGGGCAGGGTGGTGGTGGCAGGCATGGGAGAATCAGGGAAGGGTTTGGCAGATATCATTTGGAACTCAAGGATAGGTAATCATTTTAATGACATAAAAACTGTCATGGCCTCCCCATTTTCCTGCCTTGTTCACCTCCACCCCAACACACACTCACCACACACACAGGCACACACAACTATGTGCACATGTGTAACCACACATGCATGATTATGCACATGCACAAACTTGCACGCACACGCAAACACACAGATGCACATGCTTTTGTACACACATATGCATGCATGCACACCCATTAGGTCGTAAGCTCCAGGAGAACCCAGAGGCTTGACAGCCAGGCTGCAGAGCTGCAGGGGTCTACCACATACCACACACCACACACCACACACCACATACCACATACCACATACCACATACCAGTGGTGCTGCCTTGGGAGACTTCCTGACTACTTCTCCGAGGTGTGAAGGGCCCGTAATCATTGTACCGGCCTTGGAGGGTCGTGGTGAGCATTAAATGAGCCAACAGAGGTAAACATCCTAGACCATGCCAGGCCCGCAGCAAGCAGATGACATATTAGCGACTGTGAGCACTGAATGCCCTCATGTCGCCTCCTGGGCCTGGCCAGCGCCTCCTACAGGGAGGAATTAGTTCAATGGTGTCAAAGTGAAATATTTGAATGGAAATAAAAATAAAGAGGTGGGAAAACTTGGGAGAGAAGTGGCAGAAAAGGAATGGGATGCTTTGGGCAAAAGGGAGACAAAATGAATATGAGACCAAACGCGGGTTCAGATTCAGAGTCTGCTGACTGCACCTGAGGACAGGGCTGGCCTTGACATCTTTCTCTAGAGAGCCCTCGGGGACAGTCAGGATGCAGGGCTGGCCCCATGGAATTTATACTACACTTTCGCAGAAGCACAAAGTCCATCACGCCAGGCTCAAAATGCTTTCAGATCAAGGTGGTGCTCTGGTTTACCGAATGGAAAAAGGAAGATCTTTTCGTTCACTTGAAAATTCAGAATTTTAATGCACCTGCCTCTGTATGGCTAATCTGACCCCATGGATGTTAGATAATCCTTTTTTAGGAATGAATAAGATATTGGTTCTCGGGTATGAAATGAGAGGCAGTTTTCATGGTCGTCGGCATGGTGCTGATTTCATGTGGTTCTGCTAACAATCCCGGGAAGTCGTCAGTCACTACCCATGACTGGCAGATGACAACATTACTGCTCCAAGAAGGTGACTTTCCCAAGTTCAGATGGCTTGTAGGTGCCCAAGTTCCAGCCAGAACCACGGTGCCCTGGCTTCTGTCTCTTCCACTCCATCAACCAACAGTTCTCCTGAATACTCAGGGTGCCCCCACCTGCCCTAGGTGCTTGTCCTGCTACACCGAGTTGACTGTCACAAACGGTTTAATTCCTTTAATGGAGAAACTGGGGCTAATGCTACTCACGTGTCATGACTGTTACATTATAGCCGACACACTAGACTCTCAGGTGAGCCTCGGAGAGGATGGCAACGTGTCTGCCACGCAAGGGATGTCAGAGCAGTGCTTGTGGTGCTTGTGCTGGCTGACCACCAACACCATCCATCCACAGCACCGTCCATGCCCTAGTCATCCAGGCTTGGGACCTGAGAGCCGGCACAGGGCAGCCCACTGTCTGCCTTCAATGCCCTGCAAGTCTCTGGCACACATCGATGCTCAACAATGTGTCCTAAGTGGAGATATGTGAGAATTCTGCTCAGAGCTCACCTCCTCTTGCAACACCAGGGCCGTTGCACCAAGGTGGACGAAAACAACACTGTGTGATAAAACCACATCAAGAAATAGCACACGAAGTATGCCTTAAAAATAACTCCACATTTGCCATTTTTGGTAAAACCAAATCCATCACACATCTTACCAACAATGCAAGAGTTCACAACAACGTGTGTGCCAGGCATGCCCATCTGACCGCTTGAACACGTCTGTGCTAGGCATGCCCATCTGACAGCATGAACAACATGTGTGTCGACACACTCAGCCCCGTAAAATCCTGCCCTCTTGGCCATCGTTCCTGACCCATCGTGGGGTGAGGCCAGGCAAGCGCATTTCATGTTTGTGGGTGATTGAGAGGATAAATCACATCCTCTTTCTCAGGGCGTGTGAAATCCAGACACTGAGGGCAGGAGTTTGTCAGTGGGCTCACAGCAACATGGAGAACAATTCAGCTGCCAGGCTCAATTCAGCTGTCCAGGGCTGAGGCTGTGATGACCAGGGCTACAGCCCAGCCCTCTGAGTGTCTTCACAGAGGCGGCCACTACCCCTGGGGGGACTTCTGGGCATCTGTCGGGGAGCGGCCAGCACTTGCTGAGACAGGGCCTGCCTCCCTCGATTCCTCCCGTGGCTCCACAGGACCTTGCCCTACAGAAGGTGGCTCCGGGTGCCTGCCCTTTGCAACCAGAAAGAGCTTAATGAAATGAACGCTTGGGACACGAAAACAGTGCGCTCTGGCAAATGGAGTCAAAAGGCCACCTTGGAAATGGAGCTGGCCAAGAAGATTTCATCCATTCAACACAATCTCAGCTAATATTTAGGATTTCATTAACTCTTATAATGTGTTCCAGAGTGGGTCGTGCAAAGTCTGATTTCACACACACGCAAGCACACGTGCGCACACGCACACACATCACGCGCACACACACTTACACTCACACACGTACACGTGCACTCACACACATGCACACACAAACACACACAGCCTTGTGATTAATCTTTGACCAGCAGGTTCTCAGACCAGCAGGTTCAATAGCGAGATGGACAAAAAATCCATCTTTAAGAAACATCTTTAAAAAAAATCCCCACTGATTCCACATATATCAAAGTTCTAATTTTAAAGAAAAACTGCTCATAGATGTCTTTTGATTGGTACAAGGTGAACATAAGGAGTTTTGTGATTCTAAACTCAGGTGTTCAACTCTTCAACTCTTTCAGAATTTCATTACATTTTCGATTAAGCATTATGGTGAGCACATTTGCAACTTAATTGCCCTTGATTACCAAATGACATCTTATTTATAGGCAAAATAAGTAGCTTTAAAACAGATCTTTATTGTAACATTAGAAAACAATGACTTCCAAAGCACAAAAGAAAGCTGCTATCAGTTGTAAACCTAATCTCATTATTCCTGAAGCCAAAAGGTCATACCTTACTTTCTGTGCTAGAAAATTTGCCTTGTGACACACACTTTTCGCTTCACAAAAGTAATTATAATTGTTTCCCAAATATCTTCCTGAGTTTCCTTTGAAACAAGATCAGGGGCTCCTTAATTTAAACCAACCAATCAATCTTTCTCTTTTACCTTTTATACGGTTTTGGGTGATTATATTTTTGCTTTGACACAAATTTATAACCTGCTGACAATTTCCAAATGTATATATCAGAATACAGCAAAAGAAGAATGCTTGTTTTAAAACATTTGACTTTTAATAATTATTTCATAAGCAAATGTAATTTTGAAATATGTATTCATAGTATTTTATTTTTTTAGATAAAGTCTTGCTCTGCTGCCCAGTCTGGAGTGCAGTGGTGTGATGATAGCTCACTGTCGCCTCAAACTCCCGCTCAAGCAATCCTCCCACCTCAGCCTCCTGAGGAGCTGGGACAACAGGCTCAGGCCGCTGTGCCAGGCTATTTTTTAATTTTTTTGTAGAGACAGGGTCTCTCCACATTGCCTGGGCTGATTGACAGTATTTTTAAGGTACTATTGATGACCTTCTCAGTTTATCAACTTGAAGTTTTATGAAAATTAAGTTAATTTTAAGTTTTAAGATGACAGAAACTCAGAACCTTTGGTATAAACATTGCAAGTTAAAATCCAAATTTTAATTAAAATTTAAAATTTAAATTTAAATCCTGAAAATAGTCAGACAGTATTTATTTATTGCCATCAGTGCACACAGCATTTTTAGGAAAAACACATTCTTTTTTTTTTTGGAGACAGAGTCTCACTCTTTCGCCCAGGCTGGAATGCAGTGGCGCGATCTCGGCTCACTGCAAACTCTGCCTCCCAGGTTCACACCATTCTCCTGCCTCAGCCTGCCGAGTAGCTCGGACTACAGGTGCCCGCCACAACGCCCGGCTAATTTTTTTTTTGTTTGTATTTTTAGTAGAGACGGGGTTTCACCATGTTAGCCAGGATGATCTTGATCTCCTGACCTCATGATCTGCCCACCTCGGCCTCCCAAAGTGCTGGAATTACAGGCATGAGCCACTGCGCCCGGTTGAAAAACATATTCTAAAAATCAAATGATAAATAGGCAACATCAATATGGATTTATGCCGTTAATCTTTTTTTTTTTTTTTTCCCTAGAATCAGTGACTAACAACTGCACATTTTTTAACATGACAAATTTCTTCGGGGGAGAATATCTCATTTGGGAATCTATAAATCAGGCCTATGATTTTGAAAGAATCATCTGGAAATAATTTATATGCAAGGAGAGTAGACAGAAGTGCAGGTGAATGCATCTCAGAGCCCAACAAAGGTGTGATTTCACCGTGGGGCATACGTGGTGCTCGGCAGGTGGAAAGGCAGCCACGCTCATGAGGACTTTAAAAAGTTAGGCTGGACTTGTATTCCTCTCCTAGGAAGAGCCTTTTTGTGAGTTCAATTCCTTAAAATTGTTTCAAAACATTTGACTATAACCGAACCTCCTAACTGACGTCAGTAGAAAGCAGAGAAAGAGTATTTTCACAAACCCGATCTTTCCTTTCTACCTATTTTAAAAAGTAACTCTATTGTAAATTAAATTAAAAGTTTTTGCACATTTCTTTGAATCAAATACATACATTAAAAATTAAAATATACTGTTATGATTAGGATGCAGTAAAGCAAGAATTGATTATTTGAGGGCATTTATCAGTTAGTGTGACCTTCTGAGAAATAAATTGACCCAAATCTTAAGAGCCATAAAAATGTTTCCATCCTTTGGGTAGGTAATTATAGTATTCCATATGAAAATACTCTTAAACAAAGACACTGCAGAAGGATGTTTCTGTATCAGAAAACCAATCTCGTATTGCTTATTTACTTACTCCCTGACACATTCTAAAAAGGAGCTAATTTGATTTGCAAATACAAATGAGAAAGTCAGGTAAATTTATAAAGCATTTAGATATGAAGCAAGAGAGAGAAGGATCGGAATGGCAGTGGCATGGGAAGGAGGTTTCCACAAAGAGTGCGTTCCAGGACCTCCCCCATGTTATGTGAGAGGAAAACCTTTGGGCCCCAATATCACTAAGCTAAAGGGAAAAATCAGGCTGGGAACTGCTCAGGGCAAACCTGCCTCCCACTCTATTCAAAGTCATCCCTCTGCTCACTGAGACAGATGCATATGCTGACTGTCTCCTTCAAAGGGCTTATCAGAAACTCAAAAGAATGCAACCATGTGTCTCTCACCTTCCTATGACCTGGAACCCCCTCTGGACGGAACCAGTGTACTTCTTACGTATATTAATGTCTCATGTCTCCCTAAAATGTGTAAAACCAAGCTGCGCCCCAACCACCTTGGGCACATGTCCTCAGGACCTCTTGAGGCTGTGTCACGGGTGTGCGTGACAACCTTGGCAAAATAAACTTTCTAAATAAACTGAGACCTGTCTCAAATGTTCAGGGTTCACAGTTAGCTATGGGCATGATTTACATGTAGCTCTAACTTTCTGCCAGTCAATGCAAGGAGAGAAACAAAATTTAGTTATGCACACACCAAGACCACACGAGTTGGTCAGAAAAATACATTTCAAAATCAAAAGAGAATTTTCCTCTTAGAGAATATTAAAATATAAAAAAGGAAATATACATCCTAAACACTAATATATCTACTTTATTTTGAGACAGAGTTTCATTCTTGTTGCCCAGGCTGGAGTGCAATAACATACTTAATATTTAAAAGATTCCTGTAAATAAGAAAACATTTCCTTCAAAAAATTATCAGTATGAAATAATTTCATAGACATGAAAATACAAATTAATACCAAATAGCTGAAAAAAATTCTAACCTCACTAACAGTCAAACCACTGAACTAAATGAAGAAAACAGCTTTTGAAATACAGGTCCTTTTAGCAAGTAATTTGACCTGGAAACTTATTCTAGGAGAATACAGAAAGAAGCTTTTCCTTATCTCATTATTATCTCTTATGAAATTTGTCCCAGGTTAAGAACCTGAACACACACACACACACACACACACACACACACGCACACGCTCTCTAATAATATCTTACTATTTAATTAATGCACCATACTTAACCAGTTGCCTGCTTTTTTAGCGGGGAGGGGAGGAACTTAAGTTGCTTCAAAAATAAACTTAAAAAAGAAACAAAGTTTCAGCACTTTCAAGGGAATGTGGAATACATTTGGAAACTTTATGGTTTCTCAATATTTATTAAACAGAAAACATTGGAATGAACTTTCAAAGTGAGGAATGTTAGAAAACAAATTTTTGTACCTAACCATTTATATATGGAATCCAAAAATGTTCTTTACAGTTGGAATTTCAGCCTACTGAATTCCTGATAGACCAGATCACACCACTGGCTGATATTCACACATAGGAAACAGTCTCTTCTGACCCCAAGTCTTCACCTACCTCTGCTGGAAGTGGGGAAGGTATGCACGTGGAATTGTTATAATCACCACAACAATTTGAGTGTCTGTTGCAGGAAGTCAGGGACCCCAGACGGAGGGACTGGCTGAAGCCATGGCAGAAGAACGTGGATTGTGAAGATTTCATGGACATTTATTAGTTCCCCAAATTAATACTTTTGTAATTTCTTATGCCTGTCTTTACTGCAGTCTCTAAACATAAACTGTAAAGATTTCATGGACACTTATCACTTCCCCATTCAGTACCCTTGTGATTTCCTATGCCTGTCTTTACTTTAATCTCTTAATCCTGTCAGCTGAGGAGAATGTATGTCGCCTCAGGACCCTGTAATAATTGCATTAACTGCACAAATTGTACAGCATGTGTGTTTGAGCAATATGAAATGTGGGCACCCTGAAAAAAGAACAGGATAACAGCAATTGTTCAGGGAATAAGAGAGATAACCTTAAACTCTGACCACCGGTGAGCTGGGCAGAACAGAGCCATATTTCTCTTCTTTCAAAAGCAAATGGGAGAAATATCGCTGAATTCTTTTTCTCAGCATGGAACATCCCTGGGAAAGAGAATACGTGCCTGGAGGTATAGGCTTATAAACAGCCCCCCCAGGTGCACCTGTCTCCTGTGGTTGAGACTGTAGGGGTGAAATAGACCCCAGTCTCCCATAGTGCTCCCAGGCTTATTAGGAAGAGGAAATTCCTGCCAAATAAATTTTGATCAGACCGGTTGATCTCAAAACCCTGTCTCCTGATAAGATGTTATCAATGACAGTGGTGCCCGAAACTTCATTAGCAATTTTAATTTCGCTCCCGTCCTGTGGTCCTGTGATCTCACCCTGCCTCCACTTGCCTTGTGGTATTCTATTACCTTGTAAAGTACTTGATGTCTGTGACCCACACCTATTCGCACACTCCCTCCCCTTTTGAAACTCCCTAATAAAAACGTGCTGGTTTTTGTGGCTTGTGGGGCATCATGGAACGTACCGACATGTGATGTCTCCCCGGATGCCCAGCTTTAAAATTTCTCTCTTTTGTAGTCTGTCCCTTTATTTCTCAAGCTGGCCAACGCTTAAGGAAAATAGAAAAGAACCTACGTGAATATCGGGGCAGGTTCCCTGATAAGTGTCTGTTCAAAGAGTAATTATTTGCCATTTTTTCACATTGTTCAAGCTTAACTTCTGTAATTTTTTAATGTTCACCATATCAGCAGTTGTCTGGAATTTTTGGCAACTCGAGTCCCTGCCTTGGGTTTGACAGCACCTGGTGACTCACTCTCTTTGGGTAATTAATATTTTTGGTGCTTTCTATAAACATGAATTTTTCTCAGCATATGATGAACACTCCAACCCTCAGCTCTCCTGTTGCTTCTGAAGTCTTCGGTCCATCTTGTTGGCCACCACTGAGATAATCTGTGGCATGAAAGACATCATAAGAAGGTGATATGGCCAGGCTTTGTGTCTCCATCTAAATCTCATCTTCAATGACAATCCCTATAATCCCCATGTTTCAAGGGAGAGACCAAGTGGAGGTCATTGAATCCTGGGGGCTGTATCCCCCATGCTGTTCTCATGATAGTGAGTGAGATCTCACAAGATCTGATGGTTTTACAAGGGGCTCTTCCCCTTCTCCTTCCTGCTACCTTGTGAAGTAGGTGCCTTGCTTCCCCTTCACCTTCCGCCACGATTGTAAGTTTCCTGAGGCCTCACCAGCCATGCTGAACTGTGAGTCAATTAAACCTCTTTCCTTTATAAATTACCCAGTCTCAGGCAGCTCTTTATATAAAGCAGTAGGACAACAGACTAATACAGAAGGATTTTTAGCCACTATAATTTTATAAACATGAGGAAGGTTAAATATCACGTGAACATTTTAGGAAATGCTAGGAATCAATAAGTGAGGAAAGAACTGATTTTTAAAAATTGCAGAAAGGCTTTTACTGTTTCCTGAGCATCACTATTTTCTGCCTGGAAGCACCTAGGAAATCAAGCATTTGTTTGCTTTCTGTAAAAGGGGAGCTCCCAGTCCTTCCTTAAGATGGCAGGACATTCCTTTCCTGTGTCTCCTCCTTGGCTCATCCTCCTGTTTCCAAACAGGAAGGCCAGGCTCCTTACTGCCAGGGCCTGTTTCAGCTCGGTCATCTGGTCACCCACTCACCTGTCCCTACAGCTGCAATGGCAAAGCCATGTTGACTGAGGACAAGAGGCTCCAGGCGGAAGGTGGTGACAGGAGACAGAGCCAGCATCACATTTATTCTCAGCATGAGAATCACCTGGGGTATCGCAGGCCAGCCCCCGGGTGGGCCCTGAGAATCTACATTTCTGTCAAGTTCCTAGCTGCTGCTGCTCCTGGTGGAGGCACCGCCCTTTGAGAAGTTTTCATAGATGTGAGATCTCCCAGTGCTCTGGGCTTAGGAGTTTATGACGTCTTCTGTTTTGCTTTACTTTCTTCCTCTGCCCTCATCCCTGGCACTGGGGTGGGAACAATGCCCTGTTCACTCCAGGCCTGGGCAGTGAGCCAGGAGTGTTCGTGGGCTCAGGTCCTCCTGGGATACTTGTCCTCCTGCCTGGGGTGGGCTCCTGCTTGGGCCTAGACCTGGCCAGTGGCCTGAGGAGGAAAGCTAGAAAGCCTCGGGGCAGCTGTTCCAGCAGTGGAACCCAGTAACCCAGGAGGAGGTGCTGTTTTCAAAGGTATCGCTGCGTCCGACGGGGTGGAGGCCTGGACCGCACAGCAGTCACTGCCGTGCAGTGGCTGGAAGCCACGTTATTGATGGTTCCTCCAGGAGAGGCAAAGCTTTCTGTATTTTAAGCCTCTTTCAGTAAGGACTTTTTTCTTTTAGCTGAAGTGTCATAACTGTACAAAAAATGTCCATGAAAATTGTATGTAATACAATCAGTTGAATGAACTTTTTTTTTTTTGCAGATACTTAAAAGCATAGTTGAACATAAAGATGAGCTGTGTATTTTTTTTTTCAAACAGAAAATATTAAAAATGGGTGGACTTTCCCTTGGGCTTCAGGTAGCACATGTCCTGGGAGATGCTAAACGCGTGCACTGTGTCCCCCTGAGGGGGGTGGCAGGTAGAGTCCTGCTTGTCCTTGACCCCTCGTGCCAGCCCCAGTTACGCCGTGCATGCTGCATAGACACAGGCAGGAGTGTTTTACATTCTGAATATTTCCGTTCCGTTCCCACATAGATAGGTTATAAAAGGAAGCGTATTTCAGTTCTCTTCTTTCCTTAGGAAAAATAGAAACTTTTCTCACTCTCAGAAATGCACTGGAATTTACCCATTTTACTTCCCTCTCCATGGCAATGAATCTGTGCTGATCCCAATTAAAGTCTGACAAAGACCAGAGCTGCTGTGTGAGACACTAATTTCATGTTTGAACTTATTATGGCTTTCCACTGACATCCTCTTCCTGGCGCCATCTGTCCTGCACGTGAGAAGCGGGAGCTTGCCTGTGACGGTGACTTGACTCAGAGATGTGCCAGGTGGCCCCTCCCGGAGGGGATCAGTGGGCAAGGGCCTCTGGCTGGAGCCGGGTGGATGGTGGTGTCACTCAGGCATGGGGCAGCAAAGGCTCTGGTGAGACTTGAAAGCTGGGGTGGGACATTTTGTTTGTGAGAAGCCTGGACAAGAGGACGAGGTGCACACCATGTCAGTCACGGATTTGTGAACTCACAGGAGAGGGTTGGATAGGGCGTGTGAACGTGAGCCCGCGGTGTAGACGATGTGAAGCTGTGGTAACGGGTGGGCTTGTGATGGCACCCGCTGCTCGCAGGAGAGGGTTGGATAGGGCATGTGAACGTGAGCCTGCAATGTAGACGATGCGAAGTCGTGGTAACGGGTGGGCTTGTGACGGCACCCGCTGCTTGCAGCCTAACTCGAGGCCACACCACGTTTCCTTTGCTCTTGCCCTGCCCTCTCCTCTCCAAGGTGGCAAAGCCACCGCCCCCTTTCCAGGCTCTGCTGCAGGAGGGCTGCCCAGAGAGAACCCTGGGCCTGAGAGGTAAATGGAAGTCACGTAGGGGAGTCTCTGGGAAGCTCTGGGTTTCCAATAACAGGGATAGACGTAGCTCACACCACTGCAGCTCCCTCCTTCCTCTCTTGATGTGGAGTTAGTGGCTGGATACCTGGCAACCTCCTTGCAACCAAGAGGACTTAAAGTCAACCCAATAAGGATGGCAGAGTGAAAAGATGAAGAAAGCCTTTGTCTTCAGTGGCAGAACTCAGCGGTCAGCCAGGACTCACCACCGTCCTCCTCGGGAAGTCTCGCTATGAGAACAAACCAGCTTTGCTTGTTCAAATGATTGTAATTCAGGTGTTTCATCATCTGCTTCCAAAATAAAGAGGCAGCACTGCCCATGATTATGGTCCTGGGCTCCGGAGTCTAAGTTGAATGAGTCTAAATCCAGCTCCACCACTGACTGCCCTTGGACCCACATGCATTCCCACCCTCTGAGCCCCCAATTCCTCCCCTGTGAGTGGGGGAGACTCTCAGCCCTGCCGGTAGGCGTGCAGGTAAGAGGTAGGAAGGTTAACGCAGGTGAGGCGCTGTCACAGAGCAGGGCTATGGACCCGTGAGTGTAAAAACACAATCGCCACCGCAACGTCCACCTGGGGAGTCAATGCAGGAGGCTCCAGCAGAGGAGGGAACAGCGTTCAGGAACTGAAGCCCGTTGGGAACACCATGGGAACTGAGAAGCGCTCACAGCATTGTCATTACATTGTTACTCCCAAATCTGAAACTTACTGGCTGCCACGGTGACGCTCAGAGGAAATGCTCACTGGAGCGCTTTGGAGTTCAGAGTTTTGGATTAGGGATGTTCACTTGGCAAGTATGTAATGCAAATGTCCCCCATTCCAAAAAAATTCCAAATCTGAAACACGTCTAATGCCAAGCATTTCAGAAGAGGGATACTTAGCCTGCAGCATAAATCCACTTTACAGACAAAGCCAAGACACACCAAGGTCCCATCACCGCCCAACGTCACACAGGAGATGAGGCCAAGACATGCTGAGGTCCCGTCACTACCCAATGTCACACAAGAGATGAGGCCAAGATACACCTAGGCTCCATCACTGCCCAACACCACACAGGTGATTTGGGGCATTTTGCTAAGAGGCTGGGAGTGAGGATACACTGTATAAGCAGAGGTGAGATCAGGAAGAACCTCCCAGCATTAGAATCTCAAGGTGACTTTTTAAATCTACTATTCTTTCTGCGATTCGCACATGGTTGGATCTGGGAATTCACTAAATCTTTAGAAGTGTGGAGCTTCTGCTGTGTAAGTCCTGAGTTCTTCCATTTTCTGAGGACCGCAGCTTTGGGGTCTGCCCACCTCCCTGTTCTGCCATCGCCAGGATTGTACACTGGGACTCTGATGGTCACCATCAATAACTGCGCAGCTCAGAAAAAATGGATGGAAAATGCTCCTGTAATTCCACCAGCTAACAGCAATCAATTTCATTCAGAAAAATCCAACTAAAATAAAAAGCCATTAACCAAAAACTAAACATTAGATAATACATAGTGGTAGTAACTTGTCAGAAGCCTGGTTTGAATTTTGAACTCATGACTTTAAGGTAAGTTTGCTCCCCAAAAGTTTCAACAATGTCATATATCAAAAAAAAAAAAAAAAAAAAAAGACATCAGAGTCCTAGAGACACACCGGTGAATTGCTTTGAAGTTGTTGCCTCAGGAGACCTAACAACAGCTGAAAATCCAGAAGCTGTACAAAAAGGACCAAGGAATTTGAGCACACTCAGCACTTCTGAACAGAAAGAAAACAATGGAAGCAAAGTAAAGGCAAATGAAAGCCAGGGAAAGGATTGGCTGCTCCGCCATCCACAAAAGGACAATCTCCCCGCAAAACCACCAAGAAGTCAAGAAGAAAAATACCAACAAATAACCGGGGACAAATGGCCAAGGGTGTGCAGGAGGGTTAGCA
Source organism: Homo sapiens (assembly GCF_000001405.40). Classification (NCBI taxonomy): domain Eukaryota; kingdom Metazoa; phylum Chordata; class Mammalia; order Primates; family Hominidae; genus Homo; species Homo sapiens. Next base: position 230,420 of record NT_187565.1, on the reverse strand, counting down.
GAACACAGCGCTAAAAGGTCCCAGGATCATGTGGGAAGATGATGAACCCACGGGTGGTAAGAGTGATGCAGACGGAAGGACCTGAGATGTTCACAGAAAGCCCAGGTCTGTGGCAAGGCGGTGGGAAGACTGTAAGCTGGTCCGATGACTGTGTCCCTCTCACTGTGTGACGTCACTTGTACCCTTGGAAAGGCAATGAGAAGGTTTTTTATGTGATTATATGGAAAGAGCTCCAGGATCTATTTTTTTGAGAAGATGATATGGGGACACAAAAACGCACGGAGGGATGACGCTGTGAGGACACAAGGAGAAGATGGGGTTTGCATGCCAGGGAGAGGGGCCTCAGCAGGATTCAGCTCTGCCATACCTTGGTCTTGAACTGCAGCCTCCAGGACATGGGAGAATCAACGTCCGTTGTTTAAGCCGCCCAGTCTGGGCTCCTTAGTTAGGGCTGCCCAAGCTGACTCTACAGGGAGCATTTCAGTTCTGCAAACAACGCTAAATGTGACTCACACTGCTTGGAAGCACAGCTGGGGGTAGCCAGGCTCCTTCCTCCCAGTCAGCACCGGTGAGGGTCTGTGTTGTCCCCTAAAGAGACAACCTTCTAAGGAGATTGGTGGACAACAGACAGCAAGGAACAGGGTCCCTTCCTCCCTGCCGGCCTCTCAGATGGGCTCTGGGAACATGAGGCTGACCCCGACGCACACCCTGAAGATGTTCCCCTTTAAAAGCCCACTCTGGTCTCTGCTTGAAAGACAAGGCCAGCCCCGTCTGGGGATCAGTTCTGCCGTCCAGAGTGGAGGCACCGCTGAACTCTTACACGGGACGACGTCCCTGCAGATCAGAAACGTCTTTGGAAGCACACACAGCACAGCTGATCTGATGCCGAATCCGGACTTGCGGCGGAGTCTCCAAACGAATTCTGGACCTCAGATGTTTGTTTTCCCCACAGATCCAGCAGCTTAAGATTATCTCAGGCCCTGAACTTTTCAATTCACAAGTGAAATTCTATGCGGTTACTGAATTGAAGCTGAACTGTTTTATTCACTGGATTTCTTTTAAATGCTGTGACGTGCAGGAACTGCTGGGAGGCCACCATGGATGGCCCTCGGGAGCTTGTCTTTTAGGGATGTAACGAAGGAGCACAGACACTGCGGGATCTCTAGTAAAAGGACATGATTAGTGCCATAATTGACAAAAATAAAATGCAGACGGCTCCACGAGTGTTCCTCGGGGTATGTTTATGGACCACCAAAGCCCTGCCCTGCAGATCCAGAGGCCCCCAGATGTGGGAGCAGCTGTCCTCCAAACAGGACTCAATTTTCTACCCAGGGACTGTGCGGTGCCGGCCTGGGGCAGGGAGTCCTTCCCCCCCGTCTAAGGCACAGCTCCACAGCCCCATCCGGCCCTGAGATCTGGCCCGCCTTGGGGCTCCGTGTGTCTGCGTGGGGGCATGGCTGGGGCTGCGTGAAGTCAGCAGTGGCTCGGCCGGCGTGAGGCCGGCAAATCCCCCGTCTGTGCTGTGAGGCGCGGGGTGGGAAGTGGGACGGTGACCCCGTGACGCTGTTCTCTGTCGTGTGTCTTGGTCCTTCCATCCCCACATCCTGCGCCCCAGCAGAAGCCAGACAAGCAAATCCAAATTCAACGTGTGTGTGAGGGAGCTACATCTTCATGCTGTGGGCCCCTGGCAGGACCATGGGCCCGGACCACCAGAGGGGGGCCTTTTCCTCACTCCCGCCCCCCAGAACTTATCATACGCGTGGCGTGAAAGCTCCCAGGTCCCAGGAGATGCCGCACGGGCAGTGCCGTCTGCAGGTTCCCAGCCTGGGTGTGACCCCAGTGCTGCTGGTTCTGACCAGTGAGTCTCCAGCTGCCCCTGGTCCTTAGTTTATGTGGCTGACGTGAAGAGCAAAGGGTAATGCATTTAAGTTACTTTAAAACATATACATCTGTCACCCAGGTAAAAAGCTGCATCCCTTTAGCAATGTAGAGCTACTCCCTAATTTTCATGCCAAAATGCATGATATCATATCATATAATAGCCTCTTGATATCCCATGAGGCTATTAAAGAGAATAAATGGCTGTTGTTTGCTAATTAACCTGATTCATTTATTTAGAACCACTTGGCGCGTGTAATTTGAAAGTTTACACAGCAGGTCACTGCCGTCTCCTGATCCTGAAAACTCATTCTCCCTCTTTCTGCTGAAAAAGAAGCTCCTCCACTCAGCTCCCAGGTTCTGCTGGTGACTTTACAGGCGTCCCCTTAAATCCTTGCAATGGCCACATGAGGAAACCTGTGCGTCCTGCTTCACTGAGGAGAAAACCAAGACGTAAGGAAGTAAAGGATCTGCTGATGGCCGGGGGCCCAGCTTCCCGGGCATGGTGATGACCCAGCACCCGTGCGTGAGGCTCTGACTGGCCTTGGCCCCAGCACTGTGGATCCCGTGCTCTGAGCAAAAGGAGGTCCCCCAGGCCCCTGTGGGTGTGATGCCCTGGGCCCCGGCTGCTGCACACCTGCCAGCTTCCCCATGCACTCAGCTGTTTCGGCTTTCAGCAAAACTACCACAAGGCATATTTCAACACAGAAGACACAGCTTGAAGAAACAGAACAAGCATCAGAACCAGACTGTTATACGGCAGGATGCTGGTGCATCAAACCCAACTGGGAAAAATGGGCGAAAGGTCTGAGTGGACCCCACCGAAGAGGACACTCAGATGCCAAGCGTGGAAACCAAAGATGCTCCACACCACGTGCCACCCGAGGATTCCAAATTAAAACAAGTGTGCAAACCAGAGACACCCCAAATCACCTGCCCCCGAGTATTCCAAATTAAAACAAGTGTGCAAACCAGAGACGCCCCAAATCACCTGCCCCCGAGTATTCCAAATTAAAACAAGTGTGCAAACCAGAGACGCCCCATATCAGCTGCCGAGTATTCCAAATTAAAACAAGTGTGCAAACCAGATGCCCCATATCACCTGCCACCCGAGTATTCCAAATTAAAACAAGTGTGCAAACCAGAGACGCCCCAAATCACCTGCCCCCGAGTATTCCAAATTAAAACAAGTGTGCAAACCAGATGCCCCATATCACCTGCCGCCCGAGTATTCCAAATTAAAACAAGTGTGCAAACCAGAGACGCCCCATATCAGCTGCCCCCGAGTATTCCAAATTAAAACAAGTGTGCAAACCAGATGCCCCATATCACCTGCCGCCCGAGTATTCCAAATTAAAACAAGTGTGCAAACCAGATGCCCCATATCACCTGCCGCCCGAGTATTCCAAATTAAAACAAGTGTGCAAACCAGAGACGCCCCATATCAGCTGCCCCCGAGTATTCCAAATTAAAACAAGTGTGCAAACCAGATGCCCCATATCACCTGCCGCCCGAGTATTCCAAATTAAAACAAGTGTGCAAACCAGAGATGCCCCATATCACCTGCCGCCCGAGTATTCCAAATTAAAACAAGTGTGCAAACCAGAGACGCTCCATATCACCTGCCCCCGAGTATTCCAAATTAAAACAAGTGTGCAAACCAGATGCCCCATATCACCTGCCGCCCGAGTATTCCAAATTAAAACAAGTGTGCAAACCAGAGATGCCCCATATCACCTGCCCCCAAGTATTCCAAATTAAAACAAGTGTGCAAACCAGAGATGCCCCATATCACCTGCCCCCGAGTATTCCAAATTAAAACAAGTGTGCAAACCAGATGCCCCATATCACCTGCCGCCCAAGTATTCCAAATTAAAACAAGTGTGCAAACCAGACGCCCCATATCACCTCCCGCCCGAGTATTCCAAATTAAAACAACAACAAGACACCACCACACCCCGAATAGAACGGCCAGAATCCAGACCCCAACAGTACCACACGCCGGCCAGGACGCGGAGCCTCAGGAACTCTTTCATTACCCGTGGGAGTGCAAAGCGGTGCAGCCACTTTGGAAGACAGTTTCGTGGTTTCTTACAAAACTAGGCACTCACCATGCAGTCCAGCAATCACGCCCCCAGGTATTCACCCAAAGAAGCTCAAAACTTACATCCACACATCAACCCGCACACAGATGTGTATAGCAACATTATTCACAATTGCCCAAACTTGGAAGATGTCCTTCAGGAGGTGAGTAAACCGTTACATCAGGCAGTGGAATATTATTCAGTGCTAAAATGAAATGAGCTCCCAAGCCATGAAAAAGCCTTCACACTCTTTGAATCCATGGGTCATTCTGGAAAAGGCAGAACTACAAAGGTAGCGAAAGAGTCAGTGTTTGCCAGGGGTTGGGGGCAGGGAGGGATGAATAGGGGGAGCACGCAGGATTTTTAGGGCAAGGAAACTGCTCTGTGTGAGGTGGCAGTGGGGAGTCCACACCATTAAACACTCGTCCAAACCCACAGGGTGGACCATGCCAAGCGTGACCCCTGACGTGAAGGATGAAGGATGGCTTTAGTCACTAACACATCAATCCTGGCTCATCAATTGTGACAGATGCACCACGCCAGTGCGAGGGGTGAAGAACACGGGAAACCACTCGGAGTGAACCTCCTCCTGCTCCCCAAATACTTTCTGGGTTCCCCGATTGCATCGCTCCCCTCCGTGTGCCCCAGCGTTTTCCCATCTTCTTCCCTCTGTGAACCATGAGCTCCGGGGTGGGGGCCTGCAGCTGTTCTTCTCCTCAGCCATTGTGGACACCCCATCGATAGCTGATGAACCATTGATCTCGTCAGATAATCACTAACATGTTCATCAGGTGTATAGCCCATGGTATGTTGGGAAGCAGAGATGGGGACAGCGTGCCCAGCACTCCAGGGGCAGAGAGAGCTCTCAGTGGAGAAGGCCCCTCCTTCACATGCAGCCAACAGCGATGGCCCACACCTCCTGCTCCTGCGAAGCAGCTGGGAGCTCCTCCTCCTCCTGCAGACTGGAAACCGAGGCTCCCAGGGCAGGTGTGGGAGGATAGACCCAAACCCAGCCACGCCCCTTTGGTCTAGGATCCCCACCCCACCCATGCTCCCCTGCTCTGTGCCCCCAAAGGAAGCCATGGGCGGCCCTGCCGGGGCCATCACCTGCTGAGCACAAAACCCACTGTGACAGGCAGCACAGGGCCAGGTCCCCAGGATGCTGACATCCCAGCTGGGCCAGGCCCGCAGGCTGGCTTCTTACAGGCAGGCAAGTGCATACGGATCCCAGGCCCACAATGAGTTCTGGACTTTTCTTCTGGGGTCTGGAACATTTAATCTAGTTTAGGCAAGAGGTGGTGTCCATGGGGAAGGTGCATGGGGAGAGCCAGGCTCAGGGTCGTCAGAACCGTTAAACAAGGGGATCAGGGTCAGAGAATGCAGCTTGTGCCTCTCTAACGAAAGTCTCTTCCTGGAGAGGAAATAAAGTATTGACTTGAAAAGAGAGCTTTATCAGTTTCATATTCTATTTTCTGATGGATCCAACCTTGAATTGCAAAGGCCCTTTCAGCAGCAGGTTAATGAACTTGTCGTGCAAAACACTGAATTTCGGGCAGTCAGTGAACCTGGAGCTACTGTTTGGCACACAAAGCACATGTTTAGATTTTTTTTTTAAGATTTCCAAGTAGACAAGGGTTCTATGCTTTTTGGTTTTCAGGCGTAGGATGGGACATGCCGCTGCGTAAAGCTGAGCTAACTTTGGTGTTCTTCACTTTCCAGGACAGCGTTGCTCATTTTCCAGAAGCCCCTTCTGTTTCTTCCCAATTGCAGCTGAAATATTCTTCCCTTCTGACACCTTAGCACATCACATGTGAAAGCCAAGCCTTCGTATCCCTTCCTGGACTGCCAGCTCCTTCACGGCAGGGACCACAGGCTCCTATCTGTGGCTCGTTGTTGAGATCCTGGCACTCAAAATTTCGGAATTAGCTGGAGGACACACGGTCGGGAGGGCCTGGGATGGACAGGACCCTCCAAGCAGAGTTGGTCTCATCTTAGCCACGCAGAGGGAGAAGCACGGGCACTGGCGTGAGAATGTGTTTTACTAAATATCCAGATGCCGCTCAGTATCCACTGAATGCTGATGTGCACACACATACAATCATTTCCAGTAGCCAAAGACAGTGACTAGAATGCAAATATCTAACATGGGTTCGATATGGTTTGCAGAATCACTGTACAATTTATATATTATCACAATATTTGGAGCCTGAGAAAAACAAATCTCAAAGACTCCATAATTTACTCAAGAACCATTGTCCATGGCAGGGAGAACCAAATTTATATGACTTGAGCTCAAGTCTACTAGGAACATAAGGGTGTCTGGGCCGAAATCACCACGTGGTCATTTATTAGCTGATCAAGGTTGGATGAGACTCAATTTCTTCATCTAAAAACTGGACAGTCACCACAGCCATGCTCTTATGAAACTCAAACGTTATATAAATGTCAGCTTTGTTCTATGTGCCTTGTAAATGCACAAGCATACATGAAGTGACTTGCTTTTTCCCTTCATAATTTGTATTTAAAAGTCCATCTTAAACCTCCACTCGGTTTGCCACAGCCACAGAACCGACAATCTGAAGACAAAAACAAACAACAAAACCCATAAGAGCTAATGTGCTGTGTCCTGGCAGATGAGGATGAAGCAGACAGATTTCATTAGGGCCAGAATGCAATTTGGGAGCAGTCGCCATTCCAGTTAGGGCTGAACGCTAGCAAACTCGATTCCGTGTCCAATTGGGAGGCTAAATGGTACGGACAAGTCACATAACACAGAAGCGTAACACTCAATAACCTAGACATGCCCACAGACTGTTCCAAATAAGGGCTGTCTGAGATGCACCAGACTCCATCATCCGGCAGCAGCCATCAGTTTTAATCACTTTTAAATTTTTCTACAGATGTCATTTCAACAAAATAGTCCACAAATCTGCCTTGAGTGAAATTCAGTTAGTGTGTGTTACTGACGATGAGCACTTGCTCCAGAAAGTTCCCAGGTCCAAACAACATACCGTGGGGGATGGTTATTTTGTGCAAGGCTCCCCAGTCTCTGTCTTATTCCATGACCCTGCCCCCAGGGCCACACTATCATGCCAATGTCTTGTTTTTGGAAAATAAACACACATTTGTGATCCCTAATCCAACAAGCAGCTGGACATCGACTTCTTGCCTATTTCCACCACACCAAAACTCCAAGCGTAACTGCAGAGAGGCTTGCAAATGCTGCTGCCTGCCACAGGCAGGGCTCTCCTAGCCAGAAACGGGAGGCCCTTCTGCTGTGTGGTGCATTTTAGCAGGTGTGTGCCTGCATTCGGATGGAGGGGCCCCTTGCTGGTGGATGGGGAGAGCACTGACTCGGAGGAGAGCTTCTCAGTTTTCCAAAGAGGAGCGGCTCTTCTGCTCTCTCTCCCTGAGGATGCACAGCTCGGTGGAGGAAACGAGGCCAGGGTGGGAGGCTCTCAGTGGAGCAGGGGGTGGGGAAACGCCCTGAGACGTAAGGTGTTGCAGGACCAAGCACTGGGCGCCCAGGGGTGCCCCTCACCACGGCCCCTCCCTCATGGCGTGCTCTCTGCTCCTCCTGGGCTCCACATCCGTTCTTCCATCCCTGCCTAGGTCTGGCCACTCCAGGTCTAACTCTTCAGGGTCCTTTTTCCAAGCTCCTGACCCCACAGAGGGCTTGACTTCTTCCTCCCCACAGCTGCCAGAACTCACTTTCTAACATCACCCCTTTCAAAAGACAGAATGAAGCACTACGTCCAGGACTCGCCCTCCACCCACAGCCATGGGGGTCCCCAGCTCATGTCTTCAACCTGGGGAATGAAGACTTGGACCTTGAGGCTGCGGCCTTCAAGATGGGGTGATTCTACTGAACCTCGATTCCTGGTGACCGCGGAGGTGAGAAAGCCTTCCTCACCTCTGCACCCTGGGGCTGTTGGGGACTGGCAGGCTCTCGCTGCCTGAGACAGTGGATGAGGTGCTTCATTTTTTATGTATTTTATTGTTTCAAGCAAACAGAACAAAACATATCTCCTCATCCTCTTGAAGCTGTAGGGAGTTTCACCTGCTTAAAACTAATTTCAGCACAAAAAAAGGCACAAGCCTGATTGTGCCTTTCACTCATTCATGCACTCACTCACTCACTGATTCACTCACTCATTCGTGTACTCTTTCACTCAGTCACCCACTCATTTTCTCAGTCACTCACTCTTTCACTCAGTCACCCACTCATTCACTCAGTCACTCACTCTTTCACTCAGTCACCCACTCATTCACTCAGTCACTCACTCACTCATTCACTCCTTCCCTCCCTGATTCACTCACTCATTCATGCACTCATTCACTCACTCATTCACGCCCTCCCTCCCTCATTCACTCACTCATTCATGCACTCACTCACTCACTGACTGATTCATGAACTCATTCACTCACTCATTCATGTACTCTTTCACTCAGTCACCCACTCATTCACTCAGTCACTCTTTCCCTCAGTCACCCACTCATTCAGTCACTCACTCTTTCACTCAGTCACCCACTCATTCACTCAGTCACTCACTCACTCATTCACTCCCTCCCTTATTCACTCACTCATTCATGAACTCATTCACTCCCTCCCTCCCTCATTCACTCACTCATTCATGCACTCATTCAGTCACTCATTTGTGTGCTCTTTCACTCACTCATTTACTCAGTAACTCACTCATTCACTCACTCATTCATGCACACATTCACTCATTCTCACTCAGTAACTCACTTGGTCACTCATCCAATCACTCACTCACTCATTCCCTCCCTCTTTCCTTTCCTCACTCAGTCACTCATTCACTCAGTCACTCATTCATGCACTCATTCATGTACTTTTTTACTCACCCACTCACTCATTCACTCAGTTACTCATTCACTCACTCATTCATGCACTCACTCACTCATTCTCACTCAGTAACTCAGTCACTCATCCAGTCATTCACTCACTCGATCATTCCCTCCTGCACTCATTCACTCACTCATCCATTAAGGGAACTGCACATTGTAATAAGCCCATCCCTCTGTGAGATGTGGAGGAAAAGGGAAAGGAATTAAAGAGTCCATAGCACAGTACAGAGGGAATGGGAGCAGGGAACAGACTGGAGGGGCAGACAGGTCAGGTGTGTTGTATGTGTTGTATGTTTGTGCATGTGTGTGCATACAAGTGTGTGAGTGTGCCTATCTGTGCATGTGTTTGTGTGTCTGCATATTTGTGCATGTTGTGTGTGTCAACATGTGTATGTGTATATTTCATGTCTGCATGTGTGTGTGCTTGTGTCTGCATGTGTGTGTGCATGCACGTGTGTCTGCATATTTTTGCATGTCTGCAATTGTATTTTCATGTCTGCTCGTGTTTGTGTGCATCTGCATGTGTGTCTGCATGTGCATGCACCTGTGTGTGTGTGTGCACATTTCTGTCTGCATATTTTTGCATGTCTACAATTGTTTTCATGTCTGCACGTGTGTGTGCATGTGTCTGCGTGTGTGTGTGCACATCTGTGTGCATGCCTGTGTGTTCATGTATGTGCATGTGTATGCTGACTGCCCTGTCTGTCTTAAGGGAAGGGAGAGGACTCCTTTTCTCTGTGCCCCTCCCAGGATGCCTCCATGATGGTTTCTCTGGCCCAGGTCCTTTTTCCCTTCAAAAGAAAGAAAGACACCTTGGCCCTGAAACTCAAGTGCAGGGTGGGTGTGCTCATCGGCTGCAAAAGAATCAATGCAACAACTCTCCGTGATTTCCAAGGCTGCCTTCCATGTCTCCTCCTTCCTTGTTTTCTCTTTGGTTGGATGCATCCATCCCATTTCAGGCCAAACATGCGTTTTCTGCATGTTGGTCTCCCTGCAGGGATCGGTATCCCTGCACGTTGGTCTCCCTGCACGTCGGTCTCCCTCCATGTCGGTCTCCCTCCACGTCAGTCTCTCTACACGTTGGTGTCCCTGCACGTCGGTCTCCCTGCGTGCTCCTGCCCGCTGGCTGTGCTCTTGTAGGGGCTCTTCCCCTCGTGGGGCTGGCTTTCATCTCCCCGGGGTCCTGCCATGCAGCTCTGTCAGACTCTGGGTGGCATCACGCTGAGCGCCACCCTCCGGACTCAGGCCGGCCTTCCTTTCCTGTCCTGCTGAGAGATGCAGCAGCTACATGGACTAGGAGCTTGGGCCTCCACCTGCAGCGTGTGCCCATCCTCACTGACTGTGGGACTCGTTCTGTCACGTGCTGTCCCCTCCTTTAGAATGGGGTGACAGCAGAGAGGCCACACAGCTGTGAAGGGATGAGTGACATAGGTGAGTATAAGCAAAGTTCTCTAGCGGCGCCTGGAGGTGAGAAACACCCATAAATGGCTGATAGAAGTTTCACACTCCTGACCACATGTGTAGCTCTTACTGAAATATTAACGCTATTCATATTATTTCCTTTTATATTCTCCAACACAATATTTTCTCGCTGTTCCTTGATACAGTAGCTGAATTTTATACAATTTCATTAAGTTTTAAAAGTGGAGCTTAAAACGTGCTCTGGGGTTCTGTGTTATGTGAAACAGAAAGCAGGAACCATGTGTGCCATTGAAAACACCTGGGCTGTTGGGGGTTACCCTTCGCTTCGCAGGATGCGGGAAGCCTTCTGGGAATAGTCGCATAAGAAAAAATGAGAGTTGCATTTAAATTCAGGCAGAAAGAGGACATTTGTACTGGAGAGAAAACATATCTCTAATTATGTACAATTCCTCTTTCCCGTCACTGTGAATTCCTAGATGTCTAATTGGGTGCAGGCTTTGCTTCACCTGGGGCTGCTCGTGTGGCCACAAGACGCCACCCAATGCCTGCCTAGCTCTTCTCCAGAGTGGTGGGCGCTCAGAAGTAAATTATTTAAAGCAAATCTGTGCCCCATATCACGTAAGATAACCCGGGAAGGGGAGGGGATGTGTGAGCTCCTGGTACCTTTCAGTTCAACATCTCAATCACATTGCGTAGGCAGCAGGGTTTCAGTAAATGCTGAAATGGATGGATGAATGAAGGAGGGAAGGAAGGCAAGGATGGGTCTGAGGTTCGACCGCCATTGTCTGGAAGAAGGATGTTTCGTGTTGGACCTTGGACTGTACGAACGTGACCATGGGTGAAACTGGGGGAAGGGTGCCCAGGATTTCTCTGTATTATTTTTGTAACTTACACATCTATAATTGTTTATTAAAAAGTGTACTTTTAGGGAATTGCATATGATTAGGAAGCTTTTACTGAGAAAAGCTGCAGTTCCCAACGAGCTTACATACACGACCAGGAGGGCTTAGCAAGGTCTCACCTCAATTTTTAGGTTAGAAATTCAATGCTGCAATTTTCCAGGCAGTATTGTCTCTGGGAGATGGGCAGGTGCTATGCCACAGAGGCAAACCACTTGCCACTGATGGGGGTGACGGCCCCTCTGAGCTGGGCTGTGCTTGCACCGCTCCCACCAGCTGTTCCCAGGGAAAGGCGGACGTGTATCCCACCGAGCCTCCGTGGGGCTGGCCTGTGGCCTCTCCCTTCCTCCTCTGCACTGGGAAAGGCAGTAGCGTATCCCACCGAGCCTCCCTGGAGCTGGCCTGTGGCCTCTCCCGTCCTCCCTTGCACTGGGAAAGGCAGACGCTTATCCCACCGAGCCTCCCTGGAGCTGGCCTGTGGCCTCTCTCGTCTTGCCCTGCACTGGGAAAGGCAGATGCTTATCCCACTGAGCCTCCCTGGAGCTGGCCTGTGGCCTCTTCCGTCCTCCCTTGCACTGGGAAAGGCAGACGCTTATCCCACCGAGCCTCCCTGGAGCTGGCCTGTGGCCTCTCCCGTCTTGCCCTGCACTGGGAAAGGCAGATGCTTATCCCACTGAGCCTCCCTGGAGCTGGCCTGTGGCCTCTTCCATCCTCCTCTGCACTGGGAAAGGCAGATGCTTATCCCACTGATCCTCCCAGGGCCTGGCCTGTGGCCTCTCCCATCTTTCTCCGCTGTGGCCTGGGACACCAACGTGCACACACAGATGGCACAGGGTGGCGGTGCGACCATGACCCGGGGCCTCACTTTCCAGGATCAGGGTCATTCGGAAGACAAATTAGAAACCTAGAGTGTGACCTGTCTTTAGAAAATGTTGGCAGTAGTCACCCAGTTTGTCTAATTAACCTTTAGATTGATAAGTCAAAGCTGCGAAGTCTGAGATCTCTACTCCATGGACACAGCGAGCTGGGGTACTCACGCATTTGCTGTCAGCTGAACCTCCTAGAATTCTCAGCAAGAAGCGTGCTTGGCTAAAACAACTGCCATGTTGTTTGCTTTTAACAGACAGCCTCAGTGCAGGCATTTCGCTGCTGCGGCAGGCTGCTGTGAGGTGTTGGCCTCTCTCGGGGGAGTGCGTCAGTCACACGTGCAACCCGAGGGTCTTCTGGGCTGTGATTTTCCCATGCTAGACTCCAGAGCAGGAATGCACCGAGGTCAGTGCGGAACTGCCACACCCACGGCTGACACCCACGCTGGCCCCGTCCCTATGCCGCCGACGATTTCCACCATTTGTCTGAACCGTGATCACTAGCTGGCGATTTCTGCTTATGAAACCGTGTGAAATAAACAACTTTGATCATGTTGTCAAGGTAAGTGTAATAACATTCATGGGTTATTTTTAAGTTTATGGGACATTTGTTTCTTTGAAATTTATGGGGAGGAGCACACATTCTTCTACAATGGACATCTGTTTGCTAGCAACAGGCTTTCTGCAACGTGAGTGCACTCTAACCCAGCTGTTCCCAGCAGGGCTTCTCCCACTGAACTGTGGACCAGACGCGTTAGGGAGGCCGTCGGCCCTCAGCCCTGCCTACCTGGGCTGATGCGTCACAGGGCTGAGGAACACCGTTCTCAGGGAGACTTCTGAAGATTGTTAGTCAGATGTGTAATTACTGCTAACTGCAGCTAGTATTCATCCAATACCAAACCCGAGTGGTGGTAGAAAGTGCACATAAAACACGCACGCTTTTTGTCAGGCTCTGATAAGACTTGGAGCCTAATGTTTCTCTTTCCAATTCCTAAACAGATTTTGGGGTTCACCTTTGCTCATGTGACCTACTGATTGTCTTACACTAGACAGCCCTTACGTCTATGGAAGATGGTCATCTACTGATTGTCCTACACTAGACAGACCTTACGTCCATGGAAGATGGTCATCTATTGATTGTCTTACACTAGACAGCACTTACGTCCATGGAAGATGGTCATCTATTGATTGTCCTACACTAGACAGCCCTTACGTCCATGGAAGATGGTCATCTACTGATTGTCCTACACTAGACAGACCTTACGTCCATGGAAGATGGTCATCTATTGACTGTCTTACACTAGACAGCACTTACGTCCATGGAAGATGGTCATCTATTGACTGTCTTACACTAGACAGCACTTACGCCCATGGAAGATGGTCATCTATTGATTGTCCTACACTAGACAGCCCTTACGTCCATGGAAGATGGTCATCTACTGATTGTCCTACACTAGACAGCCCTTACGACCATGGAAGATGGTCATCTACTGATTGTCCTACACTAGACAGCCCTTACGTCCATGGAAGATGGTCATCTACTGATTGTCCTACACTAGACAGCCCTTACGTCCATGGTAGATGGTCATCTACTGATTGTCCTACACTAGACAGCCCTTACGTCCATGGAAGATGGTCATCTATTGACTGTCTTACACTAGACAGCACTTACGTCCATGGAAGATGGTCATCTATTGATTGTCCTACACTAGACAGCCCTTACATCCATGGAGGATGGTCACCCACTAGGGAAATTTATTTTCGGTTCCACAGTGTGGTGAAAATGACGATGCTTGTATTATAAGAAAGGTTTCAAGCTGAACTAACTGATGCCCTGGGGAGAACAAATACTGTTTGAGAAAATGGAACATTCTCACAGATTTATCTGGAGAAGCCTAACTCATTAGCAAAGGGAGATGTGCCAGATTGATTGAGCAAATTATCTTATGTGCAAGTTCCTTCTAGGTTTACTCCAAACACAATTCCTTATTAATTATGTAACACCGACCTCAGTTTCAGGTGTCAAATGCAAGGTTTGCCTTTTATTTGTTGAGTGGACCTCCTGGACTTGGACATATAATATTTTAGTTTCCTTGGGGAAGCAGTGTGGATACTCAAAAGGTCCTACAGGGTTTGGCTTGGTTCAGACCTAGACTGGCCACTCATTCACTAATGACCTTGGAGAAGTCACCACTCTCTCTGTGCCTCAGTTTCCTCACCTGCAGAATGAGAATGCGCGTCCTGTGACCTTCATGTTTGCTGTGGCGTTAAGCATATTGACCAAGGCACCAGAACGCAGGGAGCCCACGCAGAGTGACAGGTGGGAGGCAGTTCCTTTCCTTGTCCCTCCTTCGTCGTGTTCAACCCTTGGACCTGCCACAAAACTGGACCTTCCCATCCTTGACAGCACTTTCACGGAGTGGCCCAGGCATCACAAACTGATGACGTTTCTCAGCTCTTCAGAGGATGCAACAATACGTTCGTCACGCACTGCAGAGTTCCTCTGGAAGCCTGACATCTGGGGCAACGAGGCTGGCAAGGTCCCGACAGCGGACCTTCACTTCCTATGAGCCTGGAAGCCACACTTCACAGCCACAGGCTGACCTCCAAACACATCAGCAAGTTATCGCTGTTGTCCAGGGAAAGCCAGCCTGTTTCTATTTAATTTTCCATCTAAATCACAAATACCTCCCAGGGACAAATTCCGACTCCTTTTCGAATGCCCATTTGCACGGGAGCGTGCTTGTAATTTACAGGCAGTTAAAGGGGCAAATCCTTACAAAAAACTCTTCAGAATCTAAAATTACAGAAGTCTGTGTTTTCAGTTACTGCAATATGCAAATAAATTAGTTGTCATGGAAATCATGTTCGGGAAACACATGAAGTTAACGTGGACATCTGTCTGGAGTATTACACCGACTCCTCTCCGCGGCCGCGTCCTCCAGAGCTGCACTCCTGAAACCTCCTGAATGCACCTTTAAACCTGGACAGGTGATGCTGGGTTACCTGGTCACAGCGTATGAGCAATGATGACAATGATACTAATCATGGTAAAAACTGACATTGAACACTTGCTGTGAGCCACACCTTGCTCTAAGGTCTTATATTACCATATTTAATTATCTTAAAATTCCAACGAGGTAGGAAGGTTACGATCCCTTCTCTTTTTGTTAACAAACAAAGAATGAGAAGAACAGGAGAGGTGGGTGAATTGCTCAAGTTCCAGTGTATGTGCGGAGGCTTTGCCTGCAGAACCTGCCTCTGAGAACCCACGACACGCACTGCTTCCTGTTTCAAACACCGAGACAGCACAAAAGCGACTTCCTTTCTCTGCACCACCCTGATGGCTGCAAGGTATTGCTCCTGCCAAGGGCTTTCAAACTTTTTGGATTATATTCCACAATAAGACGTATATTTTACATCAGAACCTAACACACACACCCACACGCACACACCCAAAAAATGTTTCATTAGACATGTGCTCTTATTATCCAGAGTGTACTTTGGTATTTTCTAGTCTATACGGTTTTTTTTTTTTTTTTGGACGGAGTCTTGCTCTGTTGCCAGGCCGGAGCACAGAGGCGTAATATCAGCTCACTGCAATCTCTGCCTCCGGGGTTCAAGCAATTCTTCCGCCTCAGCCTCTCGAGTAGCTGGGATTACAGGCGCCCGCCACCATGCCCGGCTAATATTTTGTATTTTAGTAGAGACGGGGTTTTACAGCTTTAGGCAGGATGGTCTCGATCTCCTGACCTCGTGATCCGCCCGCCTCGGCCTCCCAAAGTGCTGAGATTACAGGCGTGAGCCACCGTGCCCGGCCTAGTCTATACTTCTCTGTTGTATTTTTGTTTCCATTTAAAAATTTGCTGGCAGTGACCAGTAACTTGAATTCACGGGTCATTAATGAGTTGCAGCCCATGGTTTAAAACTCAGTGCTCTAAAGAACTGCAGAACAGAAAACCATTGAGAATGTGGCAATATTAGATCCTTAACTACAAATGATCCCCTCTGGAGATCCTACGAATCCCCGGAGCCCGAGCCTGGCCCCGTCTTCCCCGTCTTCCCCGGGCGCTTAGTCCGCACTCATTTGCCTGCTCGGTGTTTTTAGGGAACGCCGTCAGCGCCTCCTGCGGGCACTGGGTTCATTTCCCTCCTGTGCGCAGCAGTTGTGGATTCCATTTTTCCTTCCAACTCCCCCGCCACGTTGAGCCTGCTACGTATGTCTGGGAGCTTCCAGGTCATTCTTACTGGCACATCCCACAGAGGAGAAAACACCAGCAATTGCTGTTTGAATGGATGTCGGCGCGCGTGGAGGCAGCAATGATCAACAGCGATGTGCGCGTGGTGGCGGGGGTTTGCAGGGGGTGGTGAGGGGTGGGGGGTGGTGGGCGTTTGCAGGGGGTGGCGGGGGTTTGCAGAGGGTGGCGGGGGTTTGCGGGGGGGGGTGGGGGTTTGCAGGGGGTGGTGAGGGGTGGGGGGGTGGGGGGTGGTGGGCGTTTGCAGGGGGTGGCGGGGGTTTGCGGGGGTTTGCGGGGGGTGGTGAGGGGTGGGGGGTGGTGGGCGTTTGCAGGGGGTGGCGGGGGTTTGCGGGGTATGGCAGGGGGCAGCCCGGGAGCAGGCACCGCCCTTCAGGAGGCCAGAATGGGACGCGTGATGTTTAGGAGAAAAGCTGTAAATGCACCCCAGAAATTCAGATGAAAAGCCCTGGCATCCTAAGTTCCACAAATGTTAGATGTGTCTAACTTTAAAGGTATCTGATGTGTTTGTGTGGAAATAAAATTTAAAAACGGGGTTGTTAAAATGCAGTGTGCCCTGGTGAGCTTTCATGTGATTAACTGACAATGACCCTCCCCTGCACCTCAGGGCCCCTTTCCTGTGCCACAGACTAGGCCTTTCATGTGACCACGTGTTTGATGTCACAGTGGGGAAGGAGCCTTCTCCTAAAATGTGTGGTCACGATGCTCCCATTGGGCAGTGCAGGAAGGTCAAGGCTGAAGCCTGAACCTCCCAGGAAGTGTGGTGGTGGAGGCTACAGGATGCCTGGGAGGGAGGGTGGTGGGTGGAGGGAGGGTGGTGGGTGAAGGAGGGTCGTGGGTGAAGGAGGAAGACTCGGTGGCTGAGGACCTGGGTGAACGAATGCCTGGGAGACAGGAGGGTGGACTGCTACCTTCTTTCTAGACAGAAGCTCAGCACATCACTGCTTCTGAGAGGTGACAGCATGCTGGCAGCCCTCACTCACTCCCGGCGCCTCCTCCGCCTCGGCGCCCACTCCGGCCGCACTTGAGGAGCCCTTCAGCCAGCCACTGCCCTGGGGGCTGGCCGAGGCCGGAGCCGGCTCCCTCTGCTTGCGGGGAGGCGTGGAGGGAGAGGTGTGGGCTCATGGGCCAGCGCGAGTTCTGGGTGGGCGCGGGCTCCGCGGCCCCGCACTTGGAGCGGCCGGCCAGCGCCAGCGGGGCAGTGAAGGGCTCAGCACCTGGGCCAGCAGCTGCGGAGGATGTGCTGGGTCCCCCAGCAGTGCTGGCCCACCGGCGCTGCACGCCAAATCTCCCCGGGCCTCAGCTGCCTCCCCGTGGGACAGGGCTCGGGACCTGCAGCCCGCCATGCCTGAGCCTCCCCCTCGCGGTGGGCTCCCGCGCGGCCCAAGCCTCCCTGATGGACGCTGCCCCCTGCTCCGCGGCGCCCGGTCCCATTGACCCTCCAAGGGCTGAGGAGTGCAGGCGCCTGGCAGGCAGCTCTGCCCGTGGCCCCAGCGCAGGATCCGCTAGGTGAAGCCAGCTGGGCTCCTGAGTCCGGTGGGGACTTGGAGAACTTTTATGTGTAGCTAGGAGATTGTAAATGCACCAATGAGAACTCTGTGTCTAGCAAAAGGTTTGTAGATGCACCAATCAGCACCCTGTATCTAGCTAATCTGGTGGGGACTTGGAGAACTTTTATGTCTAGCTAGAGGATTGTAAATGCACCAATCAGCACTCTGTGTCTAGCTCAAGGTTTGTAAATGCACCAATCTATGCTCTGTGTCTAGCTCATCTAGTGGGGACTTGGAAAACTTTTATGTCTAGATAGAGGATTGTAAATGCACCAATCAGCACTCTTTGTCTAGCTCAGGGATTGTAAATGCACCAATCAGCACCCTGTCAAAACAGACCAATCAGCTCTTTGTAAAACAGACCAATCAGCTCTCTGTAAAATGGACCAATCAGCAGGATGTGGGTGGGGCCAGATAAGGGAATAAAAGCAGTCTGCCTGAGCCGGCACTGGCAACCTGCTGAGATCGTCTTGGGCAGTGTGGATGCTTAATTTTTACGCTGTATGCACTAAATCTTGCTGTTGCTCACTCTTTGGGTCCGCACTCCTTTTATGAGCTGCAACACTCACCGCGAAGATCTGCAGCTTCACTCCTGAGGCCATTGAGACCACAAACCGACCAGAAGGAAGAAACTCCAAAAACGTCTGAACATTAAAAGGAACAAACTCCGGACACTCACCCAAAAGGTCCACAGCTTCATTCTTGACGTCAGTGAGACCAAGAACCTACAATGTAATACACTTCCGCTATTTCTATAAATTTCCCTGAAGAAAATAAGTATGGACGATAAAATGACAAGTATAGGTAGAGCTGGGTTTTTGTTTTTTGAAAGAACACACAAAAATAAACATCCCAAGGGGAATTCCTGTGAGACAAGATATGTATTAACATTAGAATGAGACATTGGTGCACTTAAATGCTGTGGAGATGATTAAAGCTATGCTAGCTGATGTTCTATTATATAAAAACATGTTCACAATCTATGTGCCTGCCAGGTGGAAGGCTCTAAGTATTATTTTAATATTCAGGTATTTCAAAATTACACAGTGTGTACATTTTCTCAGTGTTGTGCTGCATATATAATATGTGCTTAATATACTTTGATAATTTAATCTGCCAACTTTTTAAAATTTCATTTTGCATTCATTTATCAATGCAAAATTTGGGTCAATATAGCACTCTTCATAGATGCAAATAAATCACCAACTCTTTACAGCTGATTTAAATATAACATTCGGGAAAATGAAAAAATGCCATTCTTAGAAGTAACGTCATAATGAGCCAATGTTACAAAAGTTATTAAGAGAGCAATTTAATTCTAGTGTGTCTGAAGGTCTTCCCTAGAAACATTTCTTCTGGAAAAAGTGAGGTTTTTCTCTTTCAAGGTATTCGTTTTGAATGTGCTACATTAATTCATTTTATCAGTGACTTTAATTTTATGGAAAACTTCCTTATCCTCCTATATTTCACAGCCATTTTCCCCATCATAAAATTACTTTTCATACATTACACTCTATGAGCTTCAGAGAACGCAAATGCTCTTAAGAGGTAATGGCTAATAACACAAGTGTGGGCGGTTTTATTAATTCATCTGGCACTAATGGTATCTTAAGCTCTTCAGCCAATGCTACTCAGCTTTCCTTGGAGCTTTTGAAGACTGAGGGGAGTTGGAAAAAAAAGATTGATGCTTTGAAATAGGACCAGAAGCAAATGTCACTTCATTGCTTTATGACTTTAACCTATACTGTGCTGTAAAATGTCCCACAGCATTTTGGAAATGATAGTTACTCATTCACTATAATAGCATCAAGATCATTATGAAGTGTTTTTAATTTTAATTTGACCCAGTAGAATTATAGATCCATAAATTCGTGACTGGGAAGATCCCTTAAAAATCATCATTTAACCCTCTCAATTTAAAGATGAGGAGATTGGAACACTCAATTTGGAAAAACAAATGTCTAAAATAATGCTATTTGCTCCCAATGTTGTTATGATAGTGTTGGGAACATAACTCAGATATCCTTCCCTCCCTCTTTCCTTCCTTCTTCCTTCCTTTCTTTTTGTGTTTTTTGCTTTTTCTCTTAATTATCCTTTCATATGTTTTATATCAGGATTCTCAATCCTAGGGGTACATTAGAATGATAAAGGAATAATCCAGGAATCCCACTTCTGGGTATTTTTCTGAAGGGAATAAAATGGATGTGTGGAAGGGGTATCTGCTCTCTCGTGTTCGTTAAGATGCTGTTCACCACAGCCAACACGCAGAACCAACCTCAAGCCCATCAGCAGAGGCACAGACAAAGAAAATGTGGAATACCTACTCAGTCTTAAAAAGTGAGAAATCCTAGCATTTGCAACAACATAGATGAGCCTGGAGGACATCATGCTAAGTGGAACAAGCCAGGCACAGAAAGACAGGTGCCGCGTGACCTCACTTACACGTGGAATCTGAAAGCATAGAACTCAGAAGCAGAGGGTAGAACAGTGGTCAACAGAGAGAGGGTTGGGGGGAACTGGGAGGATGTTGGCGGAAGGGTGCAGCATTTCAGTTAGACAAGAGGAGTAAGTGACGAGGTCTATGGTACCACGTGGTGGCCACAGTTAAATGGTTTGTTTACTTGAAAACTGCTAAGAGATGAGATCTTAAATGTTCTTAAAAGCACAAGGTGATGATAAGGATGTGAGGTGGCAAGATGTTAACTAGCTTTGTTGACTTATCTCACAACGTATACCTGTATCAAAACATCACGTTGTATACTATACACACAATTTATATCCGTGAATATAACTTAATAAAGCTAGAAAAAATATTTTTAAAGTAAAACAAGAAGCGTTTCTTCCATTAAAAAAAAAAGCATCAGGTAAAGAACTTTTAAAGACGACAATGGCCAAGTCCTTTCTCAGACAAATACATCAGGTGGGGCCTGGGCACTGGTATGTTTTTAAACTTTCCCCAAGTGATCCTGACTGACATAGAACCAGGGTCAAGACCTAATATTTGCACGAATGGGCTAAAAGGCCTCCCTGGAACCAATGCGTCCACCTTCCTCACGAGGTGCACTTCTGCACAAATCTTGTGACTCCAGGTCACCGTGTGCCTGCACCTGGCTGCTTCAGGTCCCTGGGCTCACCAGATGGCTACAGCAGTTCCTCCCTCTCCCTCCAGAGTCCTCCACCCACGTACCACCCCAAGAGGGGAAAGCCAGGCACGTGTTTGAGGGTCCTCTCAGCCAACCGTCACCAAATTCTCTCATTTCCTTCTTTCCAGAGCTTCTAACATCTGACCCTTCTCATTCTTACAATGGCCAACCCCCACCCCATGGCAAGACTGTAGAGGCAGCTCGCAAAGCACACCCTGTCCCTAAGCAGTGTGGAGGTTCCTCAAAACGAGGAAGCATCGCTTCACCATGGGATCCACCAATTCCACTTCTGGACATTTACCCAAATGAACCGAAAACAGTGACGTGGAGAGAGAGCTGCACTCCGTGTTCACAGCAGTACCATTCACACTGGCCAAGGAGAAGCGACCCGGGGTCTGTCCACGGAGGAATGGAAACCAGTGTGGTCCATCCACAAAGTGCAGTGTGGCTCAGCCTTCAACAGAAAGGGCGTGTGACACATTGATACATGCAGTAACAAGAAGACATTACCCCATGTGAAATGAGCAGTCACAAAACAACAAATCCTGTGTGGTTCCACTTCTAGGAGGGCCCTGGAGGAGTCAGTTTCAGAGACAGAAAGCAGAATGGGGGTTCCAGGGCTGGGGAGGGGAAAGGGACTGAGTGTTTCATGGGGACAGAGTTTTACTTGCAGAAGAGGAAAAAGTTCTAGAGACAGAGGTGCTGACGGCTATACAGCAACATGAATGCATTTAATGCTGTTGAACTTACTTACAAAGGGCTAAGATGAAAAAATGCTTTCTGTCCCTACAATCCAGCCTTCACCAAGCCACCCATGTGACATTCTGCCTCCTTCGCCCCCCAGCCTCATCCCTCGATGCTCACTTGTGTGGCTGCAGAACAAACAAACTCTCAACCACGGAGTCCAGGGTCAGAATCCAGGCAAAGCTGGCCTCCCCAGAGTGACTCCTGCACTCTTGTTTCAGTTCTGTGCCCCCTGCTCCAGCCTCCAGGTTCTTTTCACTGTGCCTGAGCCCAAGCAGAACCACCCCAGGTACCTCCTGCTGCCCCAGAGAAGGCCCCTGGGGCACGTGGGCGCCGCTGCTATGGAGAAGAACTGGAATAGACACAACTATGACATTAACATTGTCCAGAGACAGTGCAAAGGCAGCTGAGCTACCTCCAAAGCCTCAAGAAAACAAACGTCAAATGAGTCCCGTGCATTTGGAAGCCTCCCCAGGCAGGCTGAGTAGTGAAGATTCATCGCGATGGAGTATTGCCAGACTGAGGTTTAAAAAAACAGATGCATAATTATTCAAACATGATAGCCACTGTTCCTTCCTAATGAGAAGTCGAAATACTTTCACTCGTCTATTTCCGAGTGAAGAAAGGCTGTGTAGAACGTCAGTTAGCAACAAATCTAGGACTCAGTTGCAGTGGATAATGGACGGTCATCCTTTAGAACTCTACCCATTTCCATCATCTTATATTGAAAAGCAAACACTTTTTGGCTGTAGTTTTCTTTAACAAAAATCACAGCTTTATACAAAGTGGACTCCTTCAATTTTCGATATTATTCTTTAGGCAAATCAAACCAGCAATAGATGCACTGGCTAAAAGTCTGAAATACGTTTTTAAAAATGTACATTTAAATATAAATTGAACTTATGATCCGAGACCCAGCCCTGAGTGCTGTCACTGCAGACAGCTGTCAGTGGCTTGAGAAAGAGGCTGACAATCTTTTAGGTTAGAGAATAACCACAGACAGCAACAAACCTCTTTTAGGTTAGAGAATAACCACAGACAGAGCCACTGATGGGGCTTCCGTCTTCAGCTGTGGTTTGACGTTGATTTTATTCAACAGTTTGATGTCAGATGTATTCAACATTTCACATCTTTAACAGAAGCATTGGGCCTTGTTCTTGTAAGCATAGCTCCATGTCAAAAGACTGATGGCAAATATGGCACCAGCTTTGCTGTGCTGGTGGCAGCTCAGAAATGAAATTTCCACGTGATTTGAACCAGCATCGGGGAAAGTGTGTCGTGGCAGCCTCTCGCAGGGCCCTTGGAAGGAAGCGCACAGTCATACTCAGCATCCAGACCCCAGTGTGTGGGGCCAGCTGGAGAGATGAGCTGCTTCCTGCCAAGGAAGGTCTACATGAAAAATGCAAATGCGGGAACACCCTGCTTCCTGAGTTTGCTTAGAATATGTTTAGACACAGAGGAGCAAGGGAAGGAGGGGTCCTTCACCTCTGGAGACATGCATCGTTTATGTGAACGGCTGCCTCAGTTCCTGAGGGCCAGGAGCAGCCCTTCCTCACCTAGCACTTCCGTAATGCTTAAAAACTATTATTTTTGGAAAAAAGTGCCGCATTGTACTTAGTTCTTCTTAGCTCCCTTTCTAAACATGCTAACGTGTGTTTGTGGGACGGTCCGCATGATGGGAGGTGCCCGGAGCATGCCCGGTTCTGTCCGGGCCCCGCCAGAGCGGGGCTGACGTCTGTACTCTACCTAGATCCTCCTCTGCCGGCCCCGGAAAGCTGATGCCCGGCTGGACCAAGTCTCCAGCTTCTTCCTCTGCAAAGACAGAAACAAAGTCACTCTTTAATGCGTTTCTGGTGTAGACTGCAGTCATTCCCTGCACATCTTCAAAACCCTCCACACTCAACAGTTCAAACATGACAGACACCTTTGTATTTCTTCAAACGTCACCGCTCAGAGCCCAGCATTTTGTGCCAATAACCTCAGGAACAACCAGTGTTTTCTGTAAAGCAGCATTGTGACCACAGATGCACGTATTTCTCCCACCTAGACACGGACATAGGCAGTGAGTCCCAATGATTCTCAGCTTTAACTCTGGCCTAACTTCAAATTTATTAGGCCTTATTTGCATTGGAACAGACTTGAGTAAAATCAGTCCACTCTAATTTTCCCCGGTTCCTTCCAGCTGGGTGAGTCCCATGAGGGCCCTGCATCGCCCATGAGAAAGACTTTCCTTCCGGTCTAGAAAGCTTCATGCCATTCGAAGCCTCATTTTGCAATGTTCAAAGCCTGCATTTGTGATCTTAGTGCTTAATATTAGTTCATATTAGGTCCACTTTGACCAAAACGCTGATTTAATTTCCCTCTGTTGGGAGATCACCCAGGTCACTGGCATTGATTTTCCATTGTTCGATCTGTGCTAACACAAAAGCAGACATCACTTTCTTAGAATGACATCAGCATGTGGCTGTAAAAGGTCTTGGGGTCACTGAGCACTGTCTTCCCTCCATGTGTGGGGCAACAGGGAACTGGGGAGACAGACAAGCTTGTCACTTGATTTAACTGGTCCCTGAGGAGCTGGACTGAGCATCATCCCGTAGCTCTCCTCCCAGTGGGCTCTGCCCAGGAAACCAGGTGCCGACTCTCCAGGCTGCCTTGGTTTCTACCAGGCTGCAGAGGCAGTGCAGACACAGCTGGATCTCAGGGAGGCTCTGCCCAGGAAACCAGGTGCCGACTCTCCAGGCTGCCTTGGTTTCTACCTGGCTGCAGAGGCAGTGCAGACACAGCTGGATCTCAGGGAGGCTCTGCCCAGGAAACCAGGTGCCGACTCTCCAGGCTGCCTTGGTTTCTACCTGGCTGCAGAGGCAGTGTAGACACAGCTGGATCTCAGGGAGGCTCTGCCCGACACCAGCCACAGTGAGTGGTGTGGGGAGTGGCCTGAGGAGGGGGGCAGGGAGCATCAGATAAGGGAGAATTTGGCACCACGTTACATGTGCATGTAAACATGTTATTTATGGGGTATCAGAATGATGACACATGTGCGTACACACATCTTTGTCACCATTTTGGCATATATGCCCCAAATATAAATATGATTGCATGTTCAGACTCTAGGCATGTATTCACACACATATGTGGGTTTCCAATATTCATGGACAGGCTTTGAGGCACATCTCACATTTGCCCCCACCCCCCCCACCCAAGTGTTAGATGCAGTTAGCCAGGCTGTAGTCTGCAAACGGATTTATTTCAGAGTGTGATGCTGGAGCCACTTACACTGCAATCACCATCTCTGATTCAACAAATCGGCATCTGCCATTTTCAATAAGTTCGTAGAGGTTTGGGAAAGGAAGATGACAGATTTGGAATGTGAGATGCTGATGAAGAGGATACGGTCGCCTCTCAGGTAAATGTGAACTAAGAGTTCATTTCATGGGATCTCCCAGTTACAGCTTTTAAAAAAACACACATGTATAAGAAATAGCTATCTGAATTAAGTTAAGTATCTTACAAGACAGCTCAAATGATTTAACATAACCCCATTTCTTCAAGGCTAACAGCACTTTTTGCATAGTTTAAGCTGCGTTTTTCAGCTAATGAAATACATCTGCCAAATGTCCACATTAAGTATAACATAAAACCACAGACTGGAATGGTCTCATTCATGTAGAAATATGATGGACAGCTCTAATTAACTACAGTTTCCATGGAGACCATCGTCATATGTGTGAGTAATGTGAGAACAGAGCGTCCAGCTGTGTGAGAAAGGAATTTGGGGATGAACTAAAACAATGGGCCCTTCAACCTCAGCCCTCCTTACACCAGACTTTCAGCACACATGCACACAGAGACAAGGCAGGGGCTCTCACAGGGCGGACTTGAAGGATGGGCCAACATCACCCAGTTGCAATGACAAGCATGAGCACTCCGCTAACAACACCAGCAGCAACAGGCATGGAGTTTAGCAAAGCCACGTGCTTCACACAGAGCACAAGCTTGGTATCGGAAGCCTGCGATTTGCTGGAGGAACACACCTAATTATCTTGAGAACAGCACTCCAAGAATGAGGAGTGGGGACGTTTGAAGGTCAGCCTTGAATTGCAGGAGTACAAACGCTTCCTTGCCTGATCTCCTCCCACCCGCCCTTGCTGTTTATCAGATGAGAGAACAGGAGGTCTGGAAGCTGTGTGGCTCAGGTGACACCGTTCAAAGTTAACAATCCAGCATGGGCTGAGGGTACATGCATGGAAGGTTTCCGAGTGCGGTGTGGCCTTCTAGCTGGGAGAGCTTAATGCAGCATGTGTGTCAGTATAACTGTGGGTACCATCCTTCCTTATCTAACGAGGCTTTGTATTTTCAGCCTACATTTTGTACAGGGCAGCACCCCCTTCTTGGAGGTTCTCTTCCTGTGGCTTCAGTCACTGAGGTATGAAATAAGCTGCTTTGAGAGAGAAACAGAGACCACATTCACATACGTTTTATTAAAGTAGATTGTTATAAATGCCGATTTCATTACAGTTATTCAGGTTACTCTCTTACTGTGCTTAACGTATGTGCTGAGCTTTATCACGGCTGCACAGACACAGTGAGCTCTGCACTCTGGCTTTCTTCTGCTCTTGCCCAAATTCCCATCCAAGGGGCCTGGGGAGTCATGCCCTACAAACCACGGAGTCTCATTAGAGGGGTTTTCTTTACCCTACATAACATGGCTCACTTTCCAACCTGACTCGGGCACATCACGTGACAGATAAAGAACAAAATAAAAATATTTCCATCCCGAATGTGTAATTTTTTTTTTTTTATTTATTTTGCCGTATCTTGAAATAGTGCAGGAAAATCTACATTCTGAAGAGAATTCCCTTCTTTTTCCTTCCTTTTCCCAGATCCAGGAGAGAATTGACTCTGATAAGAAACACTTACCATCCATCCTCTTTGCAGCCTGCTGCCTGGAGGCTTCCTCTGCACGGTGGGAACTGCATCTCCACAACCCCTTATCTTCACCCAGACATCGCTTTCTATGAATTCTAGGTCTTCAGACAATAATTTAACTCTTTCAACCAATGGCCAATCGGAAAATGTTTGACTCCATAATGACTTGGGAGGCCTCACTTCCAGTTGTCCTGCCTTTCCAGACCCAACCAAGGTACATCTACAGGTAGTGACCAATGGCTTATGTCTCCCTAAAGTGTATAAAACCAAAAGCTGTATCTTGACCACACTGGACACATGTTCTCAGGATCTCCTGAGGGCTGTGCCACGGGCTGTGGGTCATTCATCTTTGGCTCAGAATAAACCCCTTCAAAATACTTTACAGAGTTCAACTCTTTTTGTCGACAACAGGAAAAATCTACCTACAAGTGTTGGTACTGGCTGAGGTTTCAGGCATCTGCTAGGGGTCTTGGAACATGTCCCCGTGGACAGCGGGGACTACCGTACTTCTACCACGTTCCCACCCCCAGTTCAGAACCCTCACTAGGCAAGAACCCTGTTCGCCTGGACAGGCCATAGGTAGAGCCATGTTCTTCCTTACATCTTCCGCATCTGGGACAGCATGGGAGAAATGCTAATTACCATCTCAGCGACCTCAGAAATGCCCTTATCTATGCTTAAAGAGACAAGGAAATCCTCCTTCTTCTGGTAGATCTCTCTCTCCTGGCCTCCTCGTATAAGGGAGGAGAACCATTTGCTCCACCAGTCATTGGAAAGATGGGCCGCCTGGCCTAGGAAGCCAACGTTGGCTGCTGTCATACAACTACAGCTCTCTCTGCGCTCTGAGACGTTCTGAAATCACGTGACCGTAAGCTTCCTCCACCTAGCCTCTTTACTTCCCATGGTCCAAACTGAATACCTCCCAGGGAGAGGCTGGACGCTATCCCATCCCATGTGTGAGGCTGATCGGTGCTGTGAAACTGACAGCGCCGACCTCTGACCTCACATTTCCATCGCCAAAACAAAACGTGCCTTTGACTGAGAAGTCTTGGGAATCATCCATTCACGCGTGGGAATGCACATCTGTCTTCACTGGAGAAACAGTCTTTCACCGCGGCAACTCCGGGTGGGGCTTCCTCACTCAGACCCCTTGCTTAGGGTCCCTCTGGCAGAACGTACTTTAGGAGTCACCTTTCTCATCTGCTGGAGCTTGATGAAGGCAGTGCTCCATAACGTGTGACCTGGAGACCCCGTAAACCATATTCCATAACGTGTGACTGGAGACCATGTAAACCATACTCCACAACGTGTGACTGGAGACCCCGTAAACCATCTTGGGGGAGCTGTAGCAAGGTCGTCTGGCTATTCTGTGCCCTGGTGCTTCCTTGGAGTCAACACCCAACCCTCCTCCAGCAACGCACACCTCTGGGCACAGCAGCGAACGTGCGGATGGCGTGTGCGGTGCCTCGGGTGCCGCCTGGAGAGCGTGGACCTGTCCCGAGTGAACACACAACACAGGCGCACTTTCTAACATCTCTGATCACCCTTGAGCTTCAGAGAAATGGCTGTCCTGCTCCCCTGTGGCCCAGAGGGGTCTGGGTGGATCTGAGAGGGTCTGTGATGGCCCTTAATCAAACATAGGGCGCCGTGATCACTGTGCTGGGTGCGCCACGTTTGCCTTCCTTTGCTCAGTGATGAGTCGTCTCAATGTCACAAGCTGCTCACACTTCCTGGAAGGGAGACTCGGGCAGTGCGCCTTGAGAAGGGAAGGAAGCAGGATGCTTCCCAGAACCGGTCCTCAGAGGCCCGGGCCCAGGTGGCTGCATCATCAACACCTTCCAGAAAGTGAGGAAATCAGCACCAGAGAGGCAGAGCGCATACTCAGAGGACAGAGGCGCAGACAGACCTGCAGGTTCCGACCCCCATGCACTCCTCTCGGCGCCCCCACGAGGCCCTGTGATGCTTCCACCGACACCGCAATGTCTCATGTAGAGATTCTGCACTGACCTGCAACAGGGCTCTCCTGAGTGATGATGGAGGGAGGCAGAACACTCTGCCAATGAAGAGGCAGAAGAGAGGAAAGAAATGATTGTGGGCAGGTGAGTGACCGATGGACCATATAGCCTTAGGGTAGACTTACTTGCAAGAAGAAACCTGACTTTCAGGGAAGCCAGTGGGCGTTTTACATTCTCTATGTATCAGGCAGGCTTGTGTTTCTGGGCACTCGAAGGAGAACCGTGCCGGGGGCCCCACGTCACTGCCTGGGAATACTCACAGTCTTGTTTCATCCATCAGCCACACCTGGGCCAATCCTTGGCTGTCAGAGGCTCTCGGGACAGGCTGGGCGCCGGCACCCAGTGGCCGCAGGGGCTGTCGTGTGCTTTGCAGATGGACACGCGCTATTTAACATAGAGATGCGCTGAGTCCGGGTGATTAGTGAATCGCACGTCATCGCAGACACTAGAAAGCGAAAGCATACGGGGGAAGGCCCCGGGCACAGACCCAGCACGGCCACCACTCGAGCTGGAGCTGCCTGCGAGACGATGAGCGTCTGCAATCTGCATCCTGCGAGGCAAAGATGTCCACGTCAGCACAACCACAGATCAAAGCCAGGGTCCTCCAGGAAGAGGCTTCCCAGTAGGTGCAGAGGCAAACGTTTCAATCACCACTGTGACCCGAGCACACTGTGGTCTCAGCACACCGACCTCGCCGGGCCAGCGCAGTCCTGGCTCACCCACCACATTCTGACCCCTCATGATGGCGGCCCCTCAGCAGCGCCACTCTTGGCCTCGGCTGCCCTGGCCGGCTCAGTCTCCGGCTCAGAGCAGCACAGCAGAAGGGGAAGAGAAAGGGCCCTGGGGTGTGTGGCCGGGTAACACGGGACAGTAAACGTCCTCGGCTGCCTCTCCTTGTCCTGGAAGTGGAGACAATGCTTCCCCCACAGCTGCCGGGCATCTGAGCCAGCCCTGGCACGCTGGCACTGGCTGTCTGGTGTCGCTTCTCCTGCAATGGGAAGGCCACAGGTTCAGACCCAGCACGGCCACCACACGAGCAGGCAACTTGCCTGGAAGACGACACGATGAACCCACAGGACTCCATTGACCTTGACGCTGGCCCCCGTCTGATCTTGGCAGGGAAGGGAGGGCACCAAGACCGCCAGGGGCTGAGCTGCCACCTGGTGTCGGTCCTGGCAATGCCTCATTATGGAGAATTGATGAAGAAAAATGGCACGTATGAGGATTTAAAGGTACATTTGCCAACAGGCATATCTCGGGACCTCACTCTAACACCCTACCACTCTGTCATTACGCCAGGAGTGATCATCTCTAGTTCTGTGGATGCAGAAATTGACGCCTGGGGAAGTTAAGTTTGTTCTCTGCCGCCACAGAAGAGTTAGATCTCCGTGAAGCTGAGCCTCAACCCCGTGGCTGGAGCTCTGTGTGCTCTGTGGTGTGGTGGTGTCTGTTTGGGGGAGGCTGCATTGAGTGGCACCTCGTTTCTTTTCTTTTCTTTCCTTTTTTTTTTAGATGGAGTCTGGGTCTGTTGCCCAGGCTGGAGTGCAATGGCACAATCTCAGCTCACTGTAACCTCCACCTCCCGGGATCAAGCAATTCTCCTGCCTCAGACGCCCAATAGGTGAGACTACAGGCGCCTGACACCACGCTCGGCTAATTTTTGTATTTTTAGTAGAGACGGGGTTTCATCATGTTGGCCAGGCTTGTCTCAAACTCCTGACCTCGTGATCCACCCACCTTGGCCTCCCAAAGTGCTGGGATTAAGGCGTGAGGCACCGCACCTGCCCAAGTGGCCCCTCATTTCTTAAAGACCTGCCCCGTGAATGCCAACTGCAAGGTTTGGGAAGAAAGAGGAGGAAATGCACACTTTAAATTGACAGGTTTTTAAACTCAAAGCACAATTGCGTCTTCTCAGGGGGAAGTTGTCTCCAAATCATGCTAATGCGGAAGCAAAAGGAAGCAGTTAAGCCTTCAAAGTATTAGAAGGAAAAACCAGGTTCACACATGAGAAGGGAAATTGCTCATAAGAAAAGACTGGATTTCTTGATGGAAAAGGAAACAATAGTATTATCACCTCATAAACACCAAGAGAAGGACATGACCCACTTTCGTCCACTGTGTGTGGGCCCTGCAGCCTTTCCTGCCCTGCAGAGTGTTTGTTATGTGTTTATGGGTTCATCCTACTGCCCCCCCCGATGCAGAATGGGAGGGCAGGGGCCCTGCGTCCTCCTGGCATGGCAGGCCAGCCCCTCCGTGGTCAGGAGATACAACACGTTCCCACCAGTCTTGTGAGTCCACACTGCACTTTTTATAGTACAGGCCTTTTTCGAAATGAAATGGACACAAAACCCCAAACCATAAAACAGATGCTGTCAGCACTGCCTAGGAAGAATCAGGGTAAGAAGCAGGGTCGTGCCGCGTCCACCCCTTCCGCATCTACCCCTGACGTGCCCACCGCCCGCCCCAGCTTCTCTACAGGAGCCAGCCGCTGCCCAGGGAGATGGCAGCAGGCAGTGGGCTTGCTTCCCTTCCATTTCTGAAAAGCACACTTACTTCTTTTCATTGCCGATAGGACGTTTTCCTAGCTGATGGACACCTTTGCTTACAGGAGGATTAGAATGTGAAGCCTTCACCATTAAACCAACGTTCAGAATCTGGGAAACTTCACCAGGACCCTCGCGGCTCCCACACACGTTCAGGTGTGTCTCTGGGTCTTCCCTGGGGTCCGTCCCTCTAACTGTCCCATTCCGTTGCTTCATTCTCATCCAGGGATGCACTGGGCTCGCAGAGGCGTGTCTGAAAGCCAGGGAGATGGAGGCAGCGGTCTATGCGCTCGGTCCACAGAGGCACGTCTCAGAGCTGCGGAGATGGAGGCAGATGTCTACACGCTGGGTCCACAGAGGCGTGTCTGAAAGCCACGGAGATGGAGGCAGCCGTCTGTGCCCTCCGTCCACAGAGGCGTGTCTCAGAGCTGCGGAGATGAAAGCAGCCCTCTATGCGCTCCATCCATGGAGGCGCGTCTCAGAGCTGCGGAGATGAAGGCAGCCATCTGGGTTCCTAGGGCACTGCCTCTTCTCCCCGAGTTCTTGCTACACGGATCCGCCTGGTTCTACCTGCACAGCTTGAGCTCGTTGTCACCTTGTGCCCTGCCCAGATCCTCCTGGACTTCCCTTGAGGCTGAATCTCTGTGCAGCCTGCCCCTGAGATCCTGGCATTTTCTCTCGCCTGGGTGAGAACTCGGTTTCCATCCTCCCCAAGGAATGCTACCTGTTCCCTATGCGTAGGTGGGATGGCAGTGGAGGGTGGAGGGCGGGTTGACATGTACCTCTGAAGATGTGTGGAAAGGTGTGGAGGTGCCTGTCTTTCAGTTCTTCCTGTTTTTCTCCGGCCTACTGTCCCGCAGCTCTCCGTGGTCGTACACAGCCCTTCTCCTTATTGGCCTCCCATGGGTAGCACACAGGTCTTCACGCAAAATCGGCTGCGTCGCCATGAGCATGGAGCCGGGGAAGGTGCCTGGTTGGAAGTCAGGGAGGCGGGGGGTCCATCCCGGCCCCTCTGCCTCCGGCTGTGAGGAGGGGTCAGGTCACGTGCTCCACGGCACCTCTTCGTGGGGGGAGGGGACAGGCGTGGGCCTCGGCTCTTGGAGTCACCGCGCAGGCGCAGTGACAATGTTTGCGGAGCGAAGCGCGGTCCCCATCGGGTGTCGCCCACAGGAGCTGCTTCCGGAACGCACAGGGAACGCTCAGCAGAAGCAGCCCTCTGAGAGTCAGTGCAGAGTTCAGCCATCTGAGCTTGCCCCATTTCTAGATTCTTCTAACTCTTGAAAAGTTTACTTTTACAGAAAGCACGCTCGAGCCTACATTTGAGCCGCTTCCCTAATGACAGGATTTGAAGGCTGTTTAAATTAGGGATTCATTTCTGCTCCGTTAGGACAATGACATTGATTGGTTTTAATGCTGGCTTCCTCCTCCATTTCACTCGCAGCTGTGCACCAGCCGCGCTCAGCCACTGCCGTAATGATTACTAATGGCTTTTCTTTGAAAACCATAGAAATGATCGTAATTTTATTTTGGACCGAGGATCAAGTCTCCACAGAAGCTGCCCCTAAAGTCTGCAGAATTTTTACCAGTGGTTAAATGTCACTTAAATCAGGCCAAGAGAAAGTCTCAAAGTCACTAATGAAGCAACCCCACTCAACTAAGAATGACAATCAGTGCCTCTGTCAGAACAGATGGCTGCAAAGGCGCACGACAGCGGAGCCCGGCTCCAGTCACCAGGTGCACTCGTCACCCCCTCGCGTCCCGCTCCGGAGCTCCGCAGGCCTTACCAGCTTAAACACCACCATGCCTTCCGATAAACTACGACATCATCTTCCGAAGGAATTCAGTTATGACTAACAGCAACGTACACTTAACTTTGCATTTTTTCTGGACTCGGAAAAAAAATTAAAAAGTGCTGAAGTAGAAAGGCACACTATTTCTTATTTAAATATCTGCTAACTTCAAGAGGAAATCGTATCTGCCTGTGGTGAAACTTGAACATTGTTCGCATGAAAAGTGACACCTACTTATATTTTCTACAACCTGTTTCAGATCTAAATTCCAAATACATGCGGCGTTAGGTCCCCTGCACTACCATCTATACTTAATAAAGTTTTATACTAAAGACACCTTAAAGATATGTCCACCATGCTTACCCAGGAAACACTACTTTAAAGACAGAGTGAAGGGCATTTTACAAAGCTTAGAAAAATGTGGCCTTCAAATCTCAGGCTATTGCTCCTCGTGCTCACTTTCTGAAACAGCCTCTGAGATCAGGGGGAGCAGCCGGAAGCCTCCGAGGTCAGGGGGAGCAGCCCGAAGCCTCCGGGGTCAGGGGGAGCGGCCCGAAGCCTCCGGGGTCAGGAGCAGCGGCCTGAAAGCAGCCTTACTGTTTCTCTTGCTCACAGCATCGGCAGTTCCTGGGCAGGGCTGCCAGGCAACCTGGGACGCCAGTTACATGTGAATTTCAGAGAAACAGCGAGCATTTTTGTCACATATTTCATGCAACATCAAATGTTTTTGTGAAATGCAAACCTAACTGGGCGTCCTGGATTTTTTTTTTTTTCTTTTGCTCTGTTCATGAAAAGTGATTTTATTTTTGGGTTTTTTTTTTTTTTTGGTTTCCAGTTTATTTTTATTTATTTTATTTTATTTTTTTAAATTTTATTATTATTATACTTTAAGTTTTAGGGTACATGTGCACAATGTGCAGGTTTGTTACATATGTATACATGTGCCATGTTGGTGTGCTGCACCCATTAACTCATCATTTAGCATTAGATATATCTCCTAATGCTATCCCTCCCCCGTCCCCCCACCCCACAACCGTCCCCGGTGTGTGATGTTCCCCTTCCTGTGTCCATGTGTTCTCAATTTCATTGGCTAAATCTTGCCTCCCTAACCCTGGGGACCTTTTAGGAGGACACAGGCCTCATGCCCCAGCCCAGAGATTCTGCTCATTTGTTCTGGTGTGGGGCCCAGGTCAGTTCATTTGACAGTGCCACAGGTGAATCAATCCACAGCCAGGGCTGAGGCCACCAATAAGGGAGGAAGAACAAAAGTGATTAACCGAGGGCCCATTTCACCTTTACCTACTGAGCCGACTGTGGCCCAGGGCTGCGCCACCTCTGTGGACCTCTCTGGAATCACTGTCTTTCCACACGAACACAGAACAGGACTCTCCCATCACCCTCTCTCAGTGTCTTTGTCACACAACATGCTTTCTGGATAGAACTTTTTCAGGCATTTTAACATAAAAAAATATTCACTTTGAAACGCTCTTAACTTCTTTAGCTGACGTATTGTCTGAATTTTCTGCACCTGATGGATGCCTGAGATTGGCTTCTGTTCCTTCTCCACAGGCGCCTTTTCAACCCCGCACGTAAGGTGCTTCGATGTGGCAGGAGCAATCACAGCTCTAATTATTGCTGACACTTGTTCTGGGTATTGTGCAAATGACTTCAGGGTAAGTTGTGATGCCCATTTATTTTACTTCAAAAAAAATGAAGCCGGGCGCAGTGGCTCATGCCTGTAATCTCAGCACTTTGGGAGGCTGAGGCAGGTGGATCACAAGGTCAGGAGTTCAAGACCAGCCTGGCCAACATAGTGAAACCCTGTCTACTAAAAATGCAAAAAAAATAGCCGGGTGCGGTGGCAGGTGCCTGTAATCCCAGCTACTCGGGAGGCTGAGGCAGGAGAACTGCTTGAACCTGAGAGGTGGAGGTTGCAGTGAGCCAAGATTGTGCCACTGCACTCCAGCCTGGGAGACAGAGTGAGACTCCATCTTAAAAAAAAAAATTGATATGCCTTAATCTTGGAATGCCCAATTAAAGCAGAAAGCTTAAGTAAATTATGGTGCAATTATCATGTAGAATGTTAGAAAGCTTCTAAGTGTTATTGAAATTCCCATCGTAACGTTACGTGAGAATTGGTATACTCAAACTCGATGCGGTTTGTGATCTGAGTTTGCTTTGGAAAATGTCTGCTGGCAATTAACCAAGATGCTCACAGCGATGGGCTCTGATGAGCGGAATTATGGCCGTGTTTTATTTTCTCTTTAAATTTTTTGTGCTTTCCAAATTTTCTCCCACCAACCTGTATGCCTAAGTATAAAACATTATAAAAAGTACTTGGCATCCAACAGTCTTTGGAAAAGACAGTATCTGAATTGTCTTCCTTTTTGGAATGAGATGGCCTGGAATGAAAAGGGTGGTGGTAAAGACGTACAGCTTCCTTCCTTCTTCCTCTAACGTGGGTCAGCCCCGAGTGACTGCTGTTCCCTCACACAGATAATGGCACCACTGCGATCTAGAAAGACACCCACAGAACAACAGTCCCTCGCTCATCCACTCCGCCAGTCACCGGTGCCATCCACGCATGGTGCCTCTTGCAGGAGACTCACAGACAGTGAGGAAGACATGCTGCCCTCAGAGCTGACGGTCCCATTTTTTCCACGAACTCCAACTCCACGCATCAGAAGCACACTAGTCGCATTCTCGAGCAGCTCAAACTTCAGCATGGAATGTTGTTTCCCAGGCTTTTACAGTCCACAGGTAA
Source organism: Homo sapiens (assembly GCF_000001405.40). NCBI lineage: Eukaryota > Metazoa > Chordata > Mammalia > Primates > Hominidae > Homo > Homo sapiens. The sequence continues at coordinate 194,671 of NT_187565.1, read as the reverse complement.
CACAGAGGAGGACATATTTTCTTGGGCATCTAGAAAAGCAACTCTGGAGGAAGAATCTGAACAGGGTGACACCTTGCTTCCTTAAAGAAGTTGGACCATGTGCAGAAGGTAACAGTGCGGATTATTTAAGCTGAATGCGAGTTGAGTCTGTGGGGTTCTATCCAGTGTCTTCCTGTAATCAGTTTCTGAAAAAAGATCTGAAATGGTAGCTGTGGGGATGACATGCCTGCATTTGCTTACCCACCCTGAATCCAGGTCCCCTTTGATGCCCCCTGCATGCCCCACTATCTGCAGGACAAGAGTCAGCCTGGGGTGATCTCTGGACATCATAGTCACTGACTGCAGCTGCCTGAGAGGAGGGAACACACAGCATCTGAATGCAGAAGATAAAACGTCGTCATGCCCATCGTGCAGAGGAGGAGCTTTGGAGATGTTGTAGAATTAAAATCCCACAACTACTCCGTGGCAGCATGGATGAGAACCTGCATCCTCAATTTCTCTCTGGCTCCAAACCCCTGTTTTCTCCTGTGTGGCGTGTCAGCATTTACTGCTCACCTCTTGGCCTGGGCAGCTGCAGCCCACCTCGGGCTACCTGTGGAGCTGCTTAGGACCAGGCTTTGCAAAAATAAAGGGAAGATGAAACGTGGGCCAGGCACCGTTCCGACTGGCCTCTCAATGCCTCTTTTGGGTGCTCAACTGCCCATTCCCAATTCTCTTTCTCTTTAAGCCACTCCTTTTCTGGCATCAAAATCTGAGCTTGGAAAAGAGACCTGCCAAGCTCACCAAGACTGAGTACGAGTGGATTCCAGTGGCCTCCATGGAAGAGCCACCCCGCTGCGTCCTCCTGCTGTGGCCAAATCCCAGACGGGCGTCTGTGTTTGGGAGATGAGGCCTCTCTGTGAACTGCCGGGTGGGAGTTTGCAGGGGGGTGGAGGACTGTGTGGAGGACAGTGTGGGGAGGACTGTGTGGAAGAAGGACTCCCAGCCTCCCACCTGGCTGTTCAACGGAGGCTCTGCCCTGAGTGGGCTTGTCAAGAAATCCTGAAGAATATGCCACAGCTTGAAACTGCTGAGGAACTCAACACCTCTGCCCTCCTCAACGAAGACTCTCAGCGATGATGGAAACTCCTTTCAAAGCGATCATTTCAACAATGATTTCCACAGGTATGATTTCACCTCACAGTGAATGTCCCGGGAAAGATGTTTAGAGGGATAATCTGAGGACGTGGCAGAGCAGCTCCAGCAACTGTGGTGACCGCTGTCCTCCCAGTTACGGGTAAAGGGGCCACCACGTACCTGCTGGCAGGTAGTGAGGACGTGAAGCTTCACCGACTACTCGTACTCGACCAGCCCTTGAGGATGAGGACCTGAGAATCGGTGCTGTGTGGTGCATGCTTGGGACGCAGCAGTGCACAGGTGGGACCTGGCCTGCGGGCTCATAGCCAGGCAGGAGAATCACATATGAACAGACGATTCCTACACCATGAAATCAGTTCAGTCACAGACACATGTACAGGGAGAGTGACTCGTGTTATCTGGGTTAGACGGACAACCTCACAGGGCAAACCAGCTTACAAAGCACATCCTTCACTTCAGTAGCACTGTTTTAAACCTGCATTCAGTTGTCCTACAGAATGGAATCAACTCAATCAATTACAGGTAGAATTTATTACATAAATCTATATACCAGAATATTTCATAGCCAATATACTATTTTTATTCTCATTTTCTAAATGAAAGCAACTTCAAAAATCTGATTTGTGGTTGGTTGTTTTCTTCCCTGAATCTCTGTAATACCCACTTTCAGTACTACTTAGCCATAGAACTGAATTTTGATCTATATCCCCAGGCCTAGCCATTATTCATTTATTCCACTCTGGGTATTAATAACAGTGAATGGCATTTGTTAAAAAATGACAGATGAAACTGGTTTCCTATTATTCACGGACCAATCATGCCTAAGGCATCATTCTTCTTGTTTTAAATACATCACATGTCAAGTTTACTCGCAGAAAACCAAATAAGTACAAGGTTTTAGCACAGCACTTACATTGCAATTCATTTTTAAAGCCTCGGATTCTAGATCGATTGTGCTTTAACAGGTTACAGAGCTCCTGACCTGAAACTTCACCAAGAAATGACTGTGCCAGGCTGTGGCAGCTTGGCGGGCCCCAATATTGTTTCAACCTCCCCACGTGGCTGGTCTCCCTGGGTTGCCCAGCAGTATTGGGAACGTGGAGACAAACGTTCCAGGCAGAGGCTGTTCCAGTTTTCCCATCTGTTGGTGCTTCTTGAGATTAGCAGCTGCATAAATGCATGTGTTTTACTACTTGTTTGTGACTCAAATGCATGATTCTCATGTTGCCAGCTCCACTGGCAGTATATTTGCCTTCAGCAATTTATGTTTTCTGTAATGAAAAACCCTGGCAATTTCATCCCATTTGGCATGAAACGCTAAGATATTATTTAGAGTTGGAAGAGCAAGAGGAGACAAATGCAGTTCTGTTAGTGTTGTGGCTCTCTGCAAGGCTCAGGAGCCGCCGCCGCATCTCCGCTGATGCTGAACTGTTCCTAAGGAAACCGAGAAATTCCCCCTTTGATTGGAATGTGCTCAGCAGACAGCCTTCCATAGGGGGTCTTTCCCCTCTCCAAGGCAAACTACTTTCAGAGCCTGTGGAACATGACAGGCTTCGCACGTGCCACCACATGGCAGTCCTTTATAAACAACACAGATCCAGAGAGGACACAGCCCTAACAGCCTCCAGGAGCCGAGATTTCACATTCTTCTGAACAGACTTCCGGCCCCACCTGTCTTGGCTGCCTTTTGCAAATGCTCTTTGAACACGCAGACTGCACAGCTTTCCATCTGCCGTAATATGCAGGCTTGACTTGCTCAAGTCCAGGCTCTGGCTCTTATGATCTGGGGCAAGTAATGAAAGCCTTGGTTTCCTTATCTGTAGGATGGTCATCATGCTGTTTGTGCCAAGGGTGGTTCTGAAGATGAGGTGAGAAACATGTCCATGCAGCATCTTGGCAGAGCACGGGACGCGAGCAGAGATCTTGAAGACCATGCTGATGACTGATCTTCCTTTTTAAAATTATTATAATTTTTTGAGATGGAGTCTCTTTCTGTCACCCAGGCTGGAGTGCAGTGGCGCGATCTCGGCTCACTGCAGCCTCCACCTCCGGGGTTCAAGCGATCCTCCTGCCTCAGCCTCCTCCTGAGTAGCTGGGACGACAGGTGCCAACCACCACACCCAGCTAATTTTTGTATTTTAGTAGAGATGGGGTTTCGCCATGTTGGCCAGGCTGTTCTCAAACTCCTAACTTCAAGTGATCCATCTGCCTCAGCCTCCCAAAGTGCTGGGATTACAAGCATGAGCCACCATGCTCAGCCTGATGACTGACCTTCTATGACCTCCCTGGGCCCTTTCAAAGGTTCCCTTTTCCTCCCTCTGTCAAGTAGGGGCAGCGCTTCAGACCACACCTGTCTTCCCACAGTGGGAGCTGGGAGGGGGAACTGAAGCGTTCTCCTTCAGTGAACCAAGAACGGGGATAAACCAGCGTCGCCATCTTCACATGGACGCAACGTGGGACACACGGCCTCTCCAAATTTCCTTAACCGCGTCTGCTATAAAAATCTGCATCCAGCGAGTCCATTACTTACATACATGCTTTCCCTGCTTCCTTTCTTATGTGAAGCCTCATGGCACTTGTGCCTCTCAACTGGTTTTCCTTGAATCCTGCATCTGCATGAACGCTCTTAAAAACATTTTCTGCATTTGAATCATAGATAAGTCCTGCCTATGCTCTAGGTGGAAAAATGATATGAAAAAATCTGCAATTCATTAGCTGCATTTTACAGCGTAGAGTGGGTCTGGCTAATCAACCTAATCAAAATTATACAAAAAAAGCGTATCATAATTATCTGGCAAGATGAGAGGAAAGGAAGATAAAAATAATTTTATGGAAAATGACAGGGCAGCTGCATTAACATCGTCCCAATTTCCAAGCTTGTTTCTGAAACTTCCTGTCAAGGCATATTTGTAAGTGTCCACATCATTCTCTATAGTTCTTTAAGAGAGGCCGTGGCAATGCCTGATGGTAATGTAAAATTTTCATCCTCATTGCAGTTATTATTAGCGGAATTTAAGATAATGCCTTCTTATTGACATTGCAGCCACTGTGGCAAAATGAAGGTCCTAGGGGGCAGACAGCAAAGGAGACGGCAGAGCAGGAAGGGGAGGGGGCTGAAAGGCTGAGAGACCAGGTCTGCTCTCTGCTGCCAGGAAATATTGTGATACAGCCGATGACTCAGGGTGGGAGGACATGAAGCCATCTCAGAAGCCACAGAAGGCTCTGCTACCACCTCTGTCCCTCAGATATGATGCCCAACTATGGTTGGTTTAATTTTTCATGGATCTCCCATAAGAGTTTACGGACTAACAACATGAATATCTTTCTATCAAATGCCTCAGCCACTTTCACCAGAAATTCCTGTCCAGCTTGTAAGTTGGGTCTGAATTGGTTTTACCCTGATGACTCTGAATCAGCGTGAACCTCCTTCGAGTGTCTGGATGGCTGTTCTGGGCTCTCACCAAAGGCCTCAGCCGTCGTGATCAAAACATCACAGACCATGGAGGACCCTGGGTCGGCGGGCACCGCTCTGGGGCAGAGCCGTCCAGTCGCAGGCCTAAGCCAGAAGGTTTCCAATTTCCCTTTTTCTTTTGAAGTGTCCCTGCGCAATGAGGATCTAAGGAACTCATGTCCGTGTCTTAAAATAATCATGGATGTTTTCTTTTTTAAATCAGAAATGATGAATTCTGGAAATCAAGGCCATTGACTCTGTTGGACCAGGCAGTGATACGGGTCTGACTGCTGACAAGAAGCCCTGCAAAGCTGAGAGCTGTGGCTGAGCCAGCTCACTGTTCATTCAGAAGCTCATGGAGCTCAGAGCCCAGGAGGCTGTGGCCTTGGCACCTGGAGGGCCTGCCCTGGCTGCTCTCTGGCACCTCACCAGCTCCTCAGCCCACGCTGGCTCCCAGGAAGGAAGCCGGCTTTGTCTTTCTTCCTTCCAGCTGCCTCCACATGGACTGCTGTGGTCCTCTTCCTAGAACAGTGTTTGAAATGGGGCAAAACATCCCAGTTTCCATATCACGCTAAACCCATGGGCAAGAACACTGTTGCCCACCTTTTTAAGACTCTTTTTAAAAGGAGTTTCATTCTCATTACTATATTGTGTTGCTATGTTTGAAACTAACAGGCACTAATCAATGAACAATTGTGAGCAAACCACAGCTCCCAGACCCTTACAAAAGCCCTGTGGTCTGTGGCTGCTCCTGGCAGCCCTGCCTGCCTCCCTGGTCCCCATGTCCTGCACATGCCTCCCTGGTCCCCACATTCTGCACCTGCCTTCCTGGTCCCCACGTCCTGCACCTGCCTCCCTGGTCCCCACCTCCTGCACCTGCCTCCCTGCTCTGTGTAGACGCCCTCAGGTCCTGCTCCCTGAGCCTCCTGCACAGCAGTTCAGCCTTCCCTTGTCCTCACGTTCTGCGCCTGCCTCCCTGCTCTGTGTAGACGCCCTCAGGTCCTGCTTCCTGAGCCTCTTGCACAGCAGTTCAGCCTTCCCTTGTCCTCACGTTCTGCGCCTGCCTCCCTGCCCTGTGGAGACGCCCTCAGGTCCTGCTCCCTGAGCCTCTTACACAGCAGTTCAGCTTCTGGGTCCGTCAAGCCAACAGCAGGTGTGCTCATCTCCACGTGGCGCCTGGAGACTCTGGAAACACACCGCGGCCTCACGCACGTCCAGCCCAGTCTCTGCCCGCCACGCTCACTTCCTCACGCGTGGGGCAGAGTCTAGAGGGACGCATTTTAAAGCCTGGGCTGGGTCACTTCCTCATGAAAACCTTCTGAGTTTCCCCACAAAGTACGGACTCCCTGGACCCCTCAGGGCCTCTCATCAGCCACAGATCACTCCCTGCAAACGCCCAGCAGCAGCTCGGTGCACCGCTGCCCTTCCTGCCGGCACCGAGCGTGGTTTATCTCCCAGGCTGCCGCGGGGCTCCCTTGCGCCTCTCCGGCCGCGCGCGCCGGAGGCTCACTCAAGCCAGCTCCAAGGAGGAGGCAGTGCCGGAGGGAAGAACAGGTGCGCCAGGGCCCGAGCACGGGACGTGAGGATGGCCGGGCTGTGGGAGGGCTAAATGCTCCAAGACCATCCGCCCTCTTCTCCTGGGTCCCTGTCCTCGCTCGTGTCTTTGCTTCTTTCTCTCTTTGTCATCTCTTCCTGCGTCTCCCTCCTCTTCTGGTCCAGCCTGATGCCCCGAACGAGGGTCCCACGCCCATCCCCACATCCACGCACGGCTGCCTGCAGCTCCTACTCTGTGTTTGGGGCGGGGAGACGCCGAGGGCTACAGCTGTGGAAGGAAGCGCATCCCAGGTCAGGTGAGGCTGGCCGGGGCGGCCGTGGGAACCACCGCGCAGGGACTCCCGGAAACCGTGGGGAGGGGGCGGGAGAAGCCAGCCGAGCAAGCCGCCCACCCCGTGGCCCACGAGAGCGAGCCATGCCAGTGAGCTGGGCTTGTTGAGCCTTTTTTGTTAACTACAAGGTCCTCTGCAGGACTACCGTGTAAAAAATTAAAAATGCATATAAATTACTCAGAGCAGACGTTCCATACATTCTGTGATTATTTTTAATACATTCTTTAAAAAGAAATGCAATGATTTTCAGCAAATGCTAGGCTATGTTTCTAGTGTAAAGACACATGAACTGACCACAACAGACAGAGGGTGGAGATTAGAACTCTGAGGAAGGCAAGCCTCGTGCAGCGTTGACCACGGTGCTGTCCTGCCCAGCTATCAAGAAGCAGATCAAACGGCTTTCCACGTTTCTTTTAAAAGAGAAACAGTGACTTGAAAAGCAAGTGTTCTGAATCTCAAAATATCCTTAAAACCCACACGTTCTCAAGCACATCACATTTGACATAACTGTGTGATTCCTCCCAGACCGTCATGTGAGCATGACACGGGGTGACAGATGTCACACAGCCACTTGGATGCTTTCATTTCTTGTGAGCATGGTGATTTTCCAGCCCTGCTGTGAAGACATCACCAACTTTCCCCCGAGGAACACAGACCTGGTTCCACAGGAGGGCTGAGAGCAGTCATTGGGGCCCCTCCTACCTGGCCCTTCTCCACGGGGGGACCCTGGCATCAGAAGGATAATCGGGTCGGGCTGGAAGCTTGAGCCTGAGACATGATCAACCCACTGGGTGCCCTGACATGAGTTTAGTTTTCTGGGCCAGCCAAGGAGTCAGAGATTTTTTAAATTCCCCTTCTGGGAGTCTCATGTCTTAGAAAATAAAATCTGGCCTGGTGCGGTGACTCATGCCTGTAATCCCAGAACTTTGGGAGGCTGAGGCGGGTGGATCACCTGATGTCAGGAGTTCGAGACAAGCCTGGCCAACAAGGTGAAACCCCGTCTTTACTAAAAATACAAAATTAGCCGGGCGTGGTGGTTCATGCCTGTAATCCCAGCCATTCAGGAGGCTGAGGCAGTAGAATCACTTCAACCTGGGAGCTGGAGGTTGCAGTGATCCAAGATCATACCACTGCACTCCAGCCTGGGCGACAAAAGCAAAACTCCATCTCAAAAAAAAAAAAAAAAAAAAAAAAGAAAAAGAAAAAGAAAAAGAAAATCCAATAAAGTATCATCTCACTTTGACCCTTCCTCTTAAGATTTTTCTGGAAAAGGCTTTGCCATTGGAAAGAAAAGTGTAAATCTTTCTATCTCCACCTCCAGGCTGGTCTCTGAACGGTCACGCTCATCAGTTATCACACTATTTTGTTTGTTTTAATGGCCTTGTACATGGATCATGTAGGAAAACGTAAAACTAGGCTCCAGGAGGTTTTAAAAATGCCTCCTTCAACCTTCTTTCATTTTTGATGGTTTTTAAAATTTTTTTTTTATTTTTTGAGATGGGGTCTCGCTCTGTCACCAAGGCTGGAGTTCAGTGGTGTGATCTTGGCTCACTGCAAGCTCCGCCTCCCAGGTTCACGCCATTCTCCTGCCTCAGCCTCCCAAGTAGCTGGGACTACAGGCACCCGCCACCACGCCCAGCTAATTTTTTGTATTTTTAGTAGAGATGGGGTTTCACCATGTTAGCCAGGATGGTCTCGATCTCCTGACCTCGTGATCTGCCCGCCTCGGCCTCCCAAAGTGCTGGGATTACAGGCGTAAGCCACCCTTCCCAGCCTTTTCTTTTCTTTTCTTTTTTTTTTATATGGAGTTTCGTTCTTGTTTCCCAGGCTGGAGTGCAATGGCGTGATCTCAGCTCACTGCAACCTCTGCCTCCCGGGTTCAAGCGATTCTCCTGCCTCAGCCTCCCAAGCAGCTGGGATTATAGGCATACACCACCATGCCTGGCTAGTTTTGTAGGTTTTTTTTTTTATTATTATTAGTAGAGATGGGGTTTCACCACATTGGTCAGGCTGGTCTAGAACTCCTGACCTCAGGTGATCCGCCCGCCTCGGCCTCCCAAAGTGCTGGGATTACAGGTGTGAGCCACTGCGTCCAGCCTGTTCTTTTATCTTGTTAACATAACTCTTTATTTGGCAAATCACTGATGAGTGATGGACTAGGCCAGGTCAGGGCTCAGCCAGCCGTGCGTTTGCTTCAATGCTGTATTTCTGGGTTTAAGCAAAATATGTGTGTGGGAACGTGCCCTGCCATGGGTGCAGAGAGCTTCTGCCAGTGAAACATGACCCTGAGTATTAGGAAGAAAGACAGAGTCAGCACTGAGATGCCCCCATCACCCATCCTCTTCCTCTTCCAAGACAATCTGGAGACAAATCCATTTAAATCACATGTGGACTCCAAAGAGACATAAAAACAAGACCCGGCTTTTGGAGACTGAAAACCTACATCTAGCCCCACGTTTCCTGTGTTCTGAAAAGCTCAGCAGGCGGAGGGGGGATGTTCGGTACAGTGGTGGTTAAAGGCTCTCTGCCTGTAGCCAGACAGCCGGGGTTCGGCTCTGCACTGCGCGGGGCGTCCCTGGGACTCACTGCCAACCCTTGGCATCCGTGCCTCTCTCTGCAAGAGAGATACTAATTGCACCTGTCTTACAGGGGCTGGTGAGGACTAATCTATGTAAAACATTTATCACAGGGACTGGAGCTCTCATGAAAAACAAAAGTCACGCCAGCACTACCCAATTTACATACGCAGCTGAGATACTTTCACAATGAATCCCACCGGGGTAAATAATCATAGCATTCACATTTTCCATCCCAACAAAGTCTTCCAGGCCAAAATTCTGTTGGCTATTCATATTACTTTATCGCAACGCAGAGACACCAAAAATTAACAGCCAGCTTGGACCGCAGGGGGCTTCTGATGAGGCACAAGGAAAAGACTACCTTGAAATCAACTATTTTCTTCATCTTACGGTTGGCCAACCCCTTTGCATAATAGGAATGATAAAGGACACAGAAATGAATGACTCACCGAAATGAAAGAGCAAACTCTACCATTTATTGCTTTCAAGAATCGATAAGCAGGGGAAATGAAACGCACAGCCTTCCCCTCTGCTTATGAATTAGGTCCTCCATCAAGTAAACACCACTTTCCCCACCCCCTTTCAGGATGGATCCAATTTTCAGATGTCCATTTGCAATTAATTAGTGGCTAAATGTGCCGCTGTGTTTTCTCACCTTGGCAGTAAATCCTGCCAGCTTCCCAGGACAATGCTTCCTATGCAAAAACAAACAGAGGTCACTTTCGTCCCCAGAGTGCCTGAGGGATGAAAGCTTGAGAGGCGGCTAATCATCCCTGCGCCCAGCATCTTATTCTGTCCCCACCGCCCCCAATCCCCGCCTGGTTTGGCAGCGGAGTAAAGGTCAGGAAGTCCTGCAGTTTTTGAAAAGGAGCATCGTGTTAGACCTGACTGACTCCAGACTCACAGCCTCTCTCCTTTCAAGGCCGCTGAAGAAACACTGGCCTGCTGGCTGCTGTCCCAGCGTTGCCCCCCTGCCTGGGCTCACCCTGCTCCACCCTCAGAGGCCTTTGTGCTCTCAGCTGGTGCTATGCAACTGGAAGCAGGTGCTCCTTTCGATTGTTTCAGCATCATTTGTGAAATGCTAATAAATTAACATGTTCCCAGAGGTTATTTTCTGTAAGTTGCATGTGGCTAACGCTGCAGCCTGACCTTCAGTCTCCAGGATGCGCCGTCATCTCCCTCAACCTCCAGCTTCGTGACTCATTCCAAGCTACTTTCTTGTTCCTTTGTACCTGGCTAATGACTGATCTTCATCAAGGAGGGGGCTAGAATAATGACCCTCCATTCACAAGCCTTCCGGCATTCCCAGCAACATGCACCTCTCATACTGAGGAGCCGACTGGTGGGTGGGGGTGGCTGCCATCCAAATGCCATGTCCCGGACCAGGTCTATTCCATTGGTTTGACCATTGCCCTGGGCATCTCCGGTGTCAATGGAGAGAGGAATAGAGAAAGGAGGGCCTTGTGGGGTGGGGGTGGCTGCCATCCAGGTGCCGCGTCCCGGACCAGATCTATTCTGTTGGTTTGACCATTGCCCTGGGCATCTATGGTGTCGATGGAGAGAGGAATAGAGAAAGGAGGGCCTTGTGGAGCAAGAGTGGCCAGAATCACGGATGCTGTTGGCCACCTGAGGAAAGCCAGGGCTGAAAGCATGCTCTTCACACCGCGAGGAGCTCCTGAAAATGTCATGGAAACTCTGAGAAAATATGCTATGTCTACACACACCACGTCTCACATGAGCTGAGGGGTGCTCATGTTCCTTCATGCCTGTATGTGTCCTCCTGGCTGCAAATTCCTGAAGGAAAGGGAAGGAGGGCTGGCACCCATACCCCAGACAGTTCAGAGAAAGCCACCAGTGTCCCAGTCTGAAGGAGGAGTAAACAAAGATGGCTACAGGCTCATGGGTAAGATGAATGGAAGAGAGTGGACAGACACCCAGATTTAAAAAACAGAGGGCATTTCATTAATTAGCAGCAGTTAAGTTCCCATGAGCAAGACGGCAAATGGGGAAAAGAAATGCTGTGATTTCTGAAGGTCACATTTACCCCTTACGTAGGGGGAATGAAAGTAAATTAAACCCTACGAACAGAGAGTGACAGGCAGCGCTAAACCAGCAGATAATCCCCTGCCTCCCACCACTGAAAATGCATTTTCCACCAGACTGACAGGTGCTCTGCCTGGGGCAAAATGACTCAGGGTCACTCTGCCATCCCGACACCGGCATCTGGAATCAGGTCTATTCATTCCATGGTTGGGACTATCATTTCATTAGGCACCTTTTTTTTTTTCTTTCTCACCTTTCAATTATTCTAGGCCACATAATCTGGTTTCTTGTGGGCTCTGAGTCTATGAACCGATAATAATCCATATGTTTAAACATGAGAAAATAAATGTCAGGGAAGTAAATAAGCGAGCTACTTTGGATGCACATTCCTGGGTGCAGATGGGCAGAAGGAGGCTGTTTATCATGGCCACAGACAGGTGAGCTGTGAGGAATTAGGAACCACAGTAGACAGGCTCTGAAGATGACCACCGGGCTGCCGGCTCTCAGGCTGTGCAGCTGCGTTTCTGAGCCAGAATTTCAATAAAAGAGCAAGGTTCCTCAAAGTTAAGGCCAAATGGAGACAGTGAACTTGAATCGGCCCAGCAGGGACAGGCAAAGCGGAGATTCACAGGGGTGGGGAGAGAGGCTGGTTTCAGAAGGAAAGGACAGAGCCGGAGGGTGGGGAGGCAGCCTGTCCAGCTGGCCTTCCACAGCCCTGCCACCAACATGGCCTGGGACACTCCATGTCTGTCCAGTACCCTGTGTTATGGTCCAGTACCTTCCAGCCGTCATCTGAGACCTGACCTAGGCAAAGAGGGTGGGTGGGATCTCTCATCCTGGACAGGTGCGCATCCACCCCCGCAACTTCCTCTCCCATCTGACAGCCAGCTGGTGACATTCCCAGCAGGTGGGTCAAGCCCTCTTGAGATAAAAGGCTATGTGTGCAGTGCCTGCGGCAGTGACGTGATTAATTGTGTCTGCGGTGGAGGCTTTGCTCTGAAGGAATGACCTGAGAATAAACCTGTCTTCACAGGTGTTTAGGTTCCTGGAGGGTCACACAAAGCATACAGATCACAATGTCCGTCTGACTTGGCAGAACAGGCTGGTGGGTGGCTGACAGCACTCAGCCATCACGGGTGGGTCTGCAGAAGGGGCTGGTGGGTTGGCCGACAGCACTCGGCCATCACGGGTGGGTCTGCAGAAGGGGCTGGTGGGTGGCCGACAGCACTCAGCCATCACGGGTGGGTCTGCAGAAGGGGCTGGTGGGTGGCCGACAGCACTCGGCCATCAAGGGTGGGTCTGCAGAACGGGCTAGTGGGTGGCTGACAGCACTCAGCCATCAAGGGTGGGTCTGCATAACGGGCTGGTGGGTTGGCCAACAGCAGTCAGCCATCACGGGTGGGTCCGGCTCCAGGAGAGGGGGAGAGACTGGCTTCTGAGGAATGTCACCGATGGGGACAGCACTAACATTTGCCCTGGGAACTGAGGGGGGAACCATGAGGAGGTGTGTGATGAAAATACCCAAGCTGGTGTCAGCGGAAATCAGTTTGACTCAGCTCAAAATACCCACGCTGCGCTCAGCCGAACTATAAAAAACAGGAAGGAACAGGTGACGCCCTTGGAGTGTAGAGGGGAAGAAAGGAAGTCACAGGCGCGATGGGAATAGATTTACTTTGTGATGCAGCCGAGAATGTGCTGCAGGATTATTATTAGGATTGTATTGCTCTCTCACGTAGATGTATGTGTAAATAAGACTTCAGAGGGATTAAAAAATATCATTCAGATGACACTTCAAAAACGTACAGAAATGGAACTAAAAGCTAAGAGATGTACCAGGACGAGCCACGCATCCATGAAAGCACCTTTGCTCATGAAGTCGGTGGGAGTCAAAGCAGGTCTTGAGTTTCACAGAGTGAACGGGCTCACTGTCTTGTTCTTCAGACACTGGTTACTGTACGCCCTATAATCCCAACAGAACAGTGATGCCCTCTTTTGAAGGATGCCCTGGGCTCCTCATATTTCCTTATTCAAAAGGAGTGTTGGCCAGCTCTGCCTCCAGCAAAATTAAACTTGAGAAGAGTAACTACAAAAACCATTTTTCTTTATAATGAAGAAGACATTTTAATGAAATCCTAGAAGAGCTACTTCTAAGATTTCCTAGGGGAGAGAAAAAAACAAGAAATGGGACCTGAAAATTGAACCTTTCCATTTGGTTACAAAGAGTAATGATCTCCTATAAATCACACACTAGAAGCATTATTGAATAGTTGGTGAACAGTAATTCTGTCTGACAAGCCTTTTGTTGAGCTCCCCAAGCCGGCAGGTGCCACTCGTGTTCTGCCGTGGACCACGCGAGGGTTCTGTCTTCCTCTCCGCTCGGCCTTGCGGTGGGTCCCGGGATGACAAGCAATGTTCCTGAATTATGGGGGTCAACGACTTTGTAGGGCTTTAGGGTGGTGACCTGACCCAGTATGGAAGACGTTTACTCCCAGCCGCTCATTGATCCTCACGAAACAGCCTGCAACAATCAGCGGGGCACCTCCAAAGCAAAACGCTGGGGTGCGGAGTGCTCTCATTTTGATGCCTGCTCACCATTATGGGCTCTGTTTTCCATACCTAGGGCACTTCAGGGGGATGAAAAGGTATCAGGCTGCTCCATGATTTCTCAGTAGATGCTGTTAGAGTTACAGCTAAAACCTGCTCCCCCGGCTTTTTTTTCTTTTTTAACGTTTATTTTAGAATTGAGGGTACACATGCAGGTGTGTTATGTAGGTTGATTGTGTGATGCTGAGGTTTGGGGTATGACGGATACTGTCACCCAGGTAGTGAGCACAGTAGTTCCCGGTGTCTTGTTCCCGTCTCTGTGTCCACGTGTGCCCAATGTTTAGCTCCCACTTATGAGTGAGAACGTGCAGTATTTGTGTTGATTCACTTAGGATAGTGACTCTGACTACACCCGTGTCTCTGCGAGGACATGATCTCATTCTTCCTGATGGCTGCGTAGTATTCCATGGTGTGTATGCACTATATTTTCTTTATTCAATCCCCCTTTGATGGGCATCTAGGTTGAGGCCATGTCTTTCCTGTTGCGAATAGTGCTGTGATGTCTGTATGGGGGCATGTGCCCTTTGGAAGAATGATTTATTTTTCTTTGGCTATATACCTAGTAATAGCATTATGGGGTCAAACGGTAGTTCAACTCTCAGTTCTTTGAGAAATCTACAAACTGCTTTCCACAGGGGCTGAACCAATGTACGCTCGCACTGGCAGTGTATAAGCATTCCCTTTCCCCATAGCCTTGCCAACCTGTTAAACAGGTTATTTTTAACCTTTTAACAAAAGCCATTTTTGACTGATGTGAGATCGTATCTTACTGTGGTTTTGATTTGCATTTCTCAGATGATTACTGATGATGAGCATTTTATCATGTTTTCTGCCCACTTGTATGTCTTCTTTCTTTTGAGAGGTGCCTACTCATTGGTCATAATCAAAGAATCAAAAAATAATGTTGGCGTGGACGTGATAAAAAGGAAACACTTCTGCACTGCTGGTGGGAATGTAAACCAGTACAACCACTATGGAAAACAGTGAGGAGATTCCTTGAAGAACTAAGAGTAGACCCACCGTTTGACCCAGCAACCCCACTCCTGAGTATCTACCCAGAGGGAAAGAAGTCGTATGAAAAAGACACTTGCACACACGTGTTTATAGCAGCACAATTCACAATCACAAAAACACGGAACCAGCCCAAATGCCCATCAATCAATAAGTGGATAAAGAAACTGTGGTATACATATACCATGGAATACAAATCAGCCAAAAAACGGAATAAAATAATATCATTCTCAACAACCTGGATGGAGTTGGAGACCATTATTCTAAGGGAAGTAACTCAGGAATGGAAAGCCAAATATTGAATGTTCTTGCTTGTAAGAGGGAGCTAAACGATGAGGATGCAAAGGCGTAAGAATGATACAATGGACTTTGGGGACTCGGGGGGAAGGGGTGAAGGATAAAAGACTACACATTGGGCAGAATGTACACTGCTCATGTATTAGTCTGTTTTCATGCTGCTGATGAAGACATATACAAGACTGGGTAATTTACACAGAAAAAGAGGTTTAATGGACTCACAGTTCCACATGGCTGGGGAGGCCTCACAATCATGGTGGAAGGTGAAAGGCAGGTCTTACATGGTGGCAGACAAGAGACAATGGAAGCCAAGCAAAATGGGAAACCCCTCAGAAAATCATCAGGTCTCATGAGATGTATTCACTACCATGAGAACAGTATGGAGGGACCCACCCCATGATTCAGTGATCTCCCACTGGGTCCCTCCCACAACAGTGGAGATTATGGGAGCTGCCATTCACAATGAGATTTGGGTGGGGACACAGCCAAACCATACCATAGCCTACACCGTATTCAAGACAGCGCATCCCATCACCCCAAAGCTCGCTTGAGCCCTGCTGCAGCTAAACCCCTCCCCAGTCTCCAGCCCCTGGAAACCACAGATGCAGCTTTTTCCCTTCAGTTCTGCCTTTTTGAGAATGTGATATGTGTAGAATCAAACTGCAAGCAGCCATTTTCTGGTTGTTTTACAACGTGGACCAACTGAACACCTTCGCCTCCAGCCCCGCAGTGGATCTGAGATTCTCCCTCACTGCAGGCTCCGTTCTCCGTTCCTCTCATCCCTGAGTGGCAGTCTGCTGGGCGGAGGAACCTTCTTCTGTTCATCTACTCAGCCCCTGAAGGGCATTGGGTGGTTACAGGTTTTTGGTGATTATGAATAAAGCCGATATAATCATTTGTGGGCTGGGCACGGTGGCTCACGACTGTAATCCCAGCTCTTTGGGAGGCCAAGACGGATGGATCATCTGAGGTCAGGGGTTTAAGACCAGCCTGGCCAACATGGTGAAATGCTGTCTCTACTAAAAATACCAAAATTAGCCAGGTGTGGTGGCAGGTGCCTGTAATCCCAGCTGCCTGGGAGACTGAGGCAGGAGAATCGCTTGAACCTGGGAGGCGGAGGTTGCAGTGAGCTGAGATCAAGCCACTGCACTCCAGCCTGGACAAAGCAAGAGTCCATGTCAAAAAAAAAATTGTGTGAATTATATTGTGAGGACATAAGTTTTCCCTCATTTTAGGGAAATATTTAGGAATGGAATGTATGGGCCATGTGAAAAGTATATGCTTAACTTTTTAAAAACTGCTAAACCAGTTTCTAAAGCAGTTACTCTGTTTTGCATTTTATGGGAGTTCAACTCACTGTGCATCCTTGTCACCCCAGCTAGGGTTTTTCTAATTTTAGTCATGATAGGGTTAACTTTCTGCAGAGACCACTGTGGCTGGCTGGCAGCTGCACCCCTTGCCTCATCTGTAGAAAATACCTGCTGAGCTTCGATTCTGAACCTGTATATCTTGAGGATTGTTTACATCATGTATTATTCCATCCTCCTCAATCTGACCTCAGCGTCTCCACTGCTGGCACTCGGGCCCGAGACCCTGACATTTCCTGCTTCATCTCCTTGCTTCTACCCTTGTCCTTGTTTAGTGATTTCAAAAGAAACAAAGTGGAAGCAATTCTGGAAATATGTATACCAGACCATGTCATTCTCACTAAAAAACAAAATGAAAATCACCAACATAACAAAACCAACTGCAAGGGCCACACCCGCTTTGGGATTTACCAGAAGGGCCTGAAGGGATGATGGCACCTGCGCCCCTGGCCTCCCTCCCAGCTGCGTCCTCTCCTGCTCCGGCCCTGCATCTGGTGCACAGCCGCTCTACCGCATGGCTCAACCCCCCTCCCCTCCCAACATGGCGGCAGGCATCCCTCCTGCTGCAAGGATTTCCTCCAGCATCACCTCCCCAGTGCGGCCCCGTCTGAGCTCTGCATGTCCTGCTCTGCGTTCTCACTGTGGAGGGGCACTTGTTTACGCCTCAGGCCCTCTGTCTCACTCCCACGCTCAATCGTGGCTGCTATGAGACCAGGGCTTGTTGGTGCTCACTGCTTTATCCTTAACGTAGTGCCTGGCACAGAGACCACCGCTAAATACAAGTTTATTTAATGAAGGATTAAAGAACGATTTAATGATGTTGTACTGGGCACAAGAAGTGGTTGCAATCACAACCGTTTACGGACCGCAGGCCTGCGCAGAGCCCCATTCAACTGTCACGGCACTTGTGAGCTCCTGGAAGAAAAGAAGACTTGGAGAGTTTGATGTGATTTCACCCAGCTTTAGCCACAAAGGTGGGATTTGAACCCAAGGATGGGAGTAGCAAGGGTGAATTCCTACACAGCATGGTCCGTCACCAGCTGCTGATGGATATGAACCCTTCTTGGTCTTGAAGAGGCATTTCCCATGCTCATAAAGGGAGGTGTGTGGGGTGGTTGTTTGAGGATCCCTTAATTCAGGGATGAGTGGGCTGTGGGCAGGAGGTGAGAGGAGGTTAGGAGGGAGGCTGGGGAGGGGAGGGCGTCGCAGAGGAGGTTAGGAGGAGGCTGGGAGGGGAGGGGAGGGCATCGCAGAGGCTGGGTTGGCCATGGTGCACAGGCCTCTGACAGAGGTGAGGAGGCTGGGGATGTCCTGCGTCACAGGCAGATGGAAGCCTTGTTTGGGAGCTGTGCTGGGGACAGAGTGTGGAGGTCAGCAGCTGGCGGGAAAGGCTGGAGGGGTCGGGAAAAGCTGGAGGGGTCGGGAAAGGCTGGAGGGGTCGGGAAAGGCTGGAGGGGTCGGGAAAAGCTGGAGGGGTCGGGAAAGGCTGGAGGGGTCGGGAAAGCCTGGAGGGGTCGGGAAAGGCTGGAGGGGTCGGGAAAGGCTGGAGGGGTCGGGAAAGGCTGGAGGGGTCGGGAAAGCCTGGAGGGGTCGGGAAAGGCTGGAGGGGTCGGGAAAGGCTGGAGGGGTCGGGAAAGCCTGGAGGGGTCGGGAAAGGCTGGAGGGGTCGGGAAAGGCTGGAGGGGTCGGGAAAGGCTGGAGGGGTCGGGAAAGGCTGGAGGGGTCGGGAAAGCCTGGAGGGGTCGGGAAAGGCTGGAGGGGTCGGGAAAGGCTGGAGGGGTCGGGAAAGCCTGGAGGGGTCGGGAAAGGCTGGAGGGGTCGGGAAAGGCTGGAGGGGTCGGGAAAGGCTGGAGGGGTCGGGAAAGGCTGGAGGGGTCGGGAAAGGATGGAGGGGTCGGGAAAGGCTGGAGGGGTCGGGAAAGCCTGGAGGGGTCGGGAAAGGCTGGAGGGGTCGGGAAAGGCTGGAGGGGTCGGGAAAGGCTGGGGGAGTCGGGAAAGGCTGGAGGAGTCGGGGAAGGAGTCGGGGAAGGGGAGGCCGTGGTCGGTGATGCCTTCATCATGGAATATCCACGTGGAGCTACAGGATCTTAAAATGGTAGGATTGTGCCGAGAGATTAGTCACTTTCACTTTTGTTCTGTTAAACTATTTATTCAGTGGCTTGGGATTTAGTCAAACATCAAATATTTAAGAGAGAATAGAATAGGATTCCAATATGTGCTTCTGCGTGTGACTGGCCCATGGATTTTGTTGTATTTAAACGATTCTGTGAAAGTATTCAGAAGAGAGCAGGTGGCGGGAGGGATTTCAGCAGGGATGATATTAAACATATCTATCAGCTGCCATGCCACTGCATCGGCCACTCAGAATGAATCCAGCTCCCACTGTGGTGGACTCAGGTTGTAAGGAACCAGCGGGGCTCACTTGGTGGCACCAGCTGAGGGATGAAGGATGGCATTGGGGGCTGAGAAGTGCTGGATGGAGCACCTGGCTGCCAGGACTTAACACAGGCGACAGTGTAGACGTCCAGCGAGACAGCGGAGTGAAGCATCCATGGTCTGGCATGATCCTGTCTTTCAGCAGCCACAACTGAGGCTTTTCTTTGGAGACAGGGTCTGGCCCTGTCACCCAGGCTGCAGTGCGGTGGCATGATCACAGCTCATTGCAGCCTTGACCTCCTGGGCTCAAGTGATCCTCCTGCCTCAACCTCATGAGCAGCTGGGATCGCAGGCACACACCACCAGGCTTGGCTAATTTTTTTTTCTTTTTTTTTTTTAGGGATGAGGTCTCCCTATGTTGCCCAGGCTGATCTTGAACTTCTGGGCTCAAGCAATCCTCCTGCCTCAGCCTCCCAAAGTGTGGGATTACAGGCATAAACCACCACGCTTGGCCCTCAAATGAGTTTTATAGGAGTCTGTATTTTGTGCATCTCCTGGAGAAATAATCGAGGGTCATACATGGACTTTTAAAGTTGGTTCCTCTCAAACAATGGCAGCACTTCAAGGAGGGCCCATTTCTGGGGTTGGTTTTATTTAGGGCAACAAATAATAAATTTAATACAAAAAAGAATTCTCAGGCACGTGCAGAGCAGGTGCTTCTGACGTGAGAATCATCTTGGGGTGAGGCAGATGCATTGGTGATTTCACGTTGCCCAAGAGCTGCCAGTGAAAATACGAATACGTGGGAGGTTCTTCTGAGGAAGCTCAGTAAGGCAGCGAAGGAGCAGGCAAGGTCCTCAGCAGCAGACGTCTCTCTCCAGGCTGCTTTCCAGTAGCTTCCGAAGAAACCTCTCCTGCACAGGAAATGGCAGAGAGGGATGTACTGCAGTTTGCTGCCCTTGGTGGCCACATGGAGGGTCTCCTGAGGAGATGGTGGCCACGCATTAACAGCCGGCTCCTAGGAGCCAGAATAAAGCCCGCTTCGCTCTCGTACGGGGCCTGCTGGGCAGGGAGCAGCTCAGAGCTGAATGCCGCAAGGTGTTGTCCTGGGAGCCAGGGTGGCTGCTGTCACGGCCACTGCTGCTGGCCACAGCCACCCTTCACTGTGCAGGAGCTGGGCGAGGGGAGGAAGCCCCAGGACTGGAGGATCTGCCACAGCTTTTAGGGCAGGCCTCTGCCTGGTGCTCACATCCCAGCTGGACACGGGGCGCCCAGCATGGATTTCTTTCATAGAATGAATGACAGGACATGTCATGCGTTGAACTGTGTCCCCTAGAAGGATGTGTTGACAGCCTCATCCCGGAGCCTGTGACTCTGACCTTGGTCTTTGCAGTGGCCCCAAGTTCAGATGAGGTCGTACAGAGGGAAGGTGGTCCTAATACCAGGACGATGTCTTTCTAAGGAGAGAGAGAGGCTGGAGTGAGCACAGCAGGATGGACACGGGAAGAGAGTCTGGGCCGGGCAGCGTGGCCCCAGGATGACGGTCACCACAAGCTGCTGGCATCCATGGAGAGTGGGAGGGAAGAGGAGGGTTTTCAGAGCCTGCAGTGGGAGTGCAGCTCTGCCCATGCCTCAGCTTTGGTCTTCTGGCATCCAGAATGGCGAGAAGATGCCTTTCTGTGGTTTACACTGCCCAGGCTGGAGTCACGTTTTACGGCAGCCCCAGTAAATAAAGCGAGGAATGCACTGGCCCCAAAGCACAGGCTTCCCAGGTTTCCTTCAAGGGTGGAGGGATGCCGGGGTCCTGACCTGGTGGCACCAGGAGCCTAAGGCTTGGGATCCATGTGTTGGAACAGGTGTGGTTCTCAGAACCCACCATGGCTGCTAAGGACTCAGGGCCAGCCCGGATCCATGCGATGTGAACCGGGGAGGTTCTCAGAAGAAACCATGGCTGTTGGGGACTCAGGACCAGCCCGGATCCACGCCGTGTGAACAGGCGAGGTTCTCAGAATGGACTGAGGCTGCTGGGGACTCAGGACCAGCCCAGATCCACGCCGTGTGAACAGGCGAGGTTCTCAGAATGGACCGAGGCTGCTGGGGACTCAGGACCAGCCCGGATCTACGCTGTGTGAACAGGGCACAATTCTCAGAACCGACCGAGGCTGCAGAGGACACAGGGCCAGCCCGGATCCACGCTGTGTGAACTGGGGAGGTTCTCAGAAGGGACCGAGGCTGCTGGGGACTCAGGGCCTGCCTGGACCTCCCTGCTCCTGTGACCCTGGGTCCACGTCTTTGGCAAGTGATTTCTGAAAGTGTCTCTGTACAGGGGTCAAGATGCAAGCCACAGCGCCCCCACTTTGCAGCACAAAGATTCTCTCTTAGAACAGGAGGCTGAAAGAATTAGCACGGTTCCAGCTGGGTAACACTTTTCAAAAATGTGTAGCCTCAGAACGTATTTATTTATTTATGTTTAGTGAAACAAAGCTGTATGATGTGGTGGCCTCCTGACCAGGGGGGATCTGGGATCTCAGAGCCAAGTCAGCTTCTCACCCTGGCGCCACCCCTGCAGCAGGGCGCAGGACCCCAAGGCACTGTGGGACACAGTTTGAGAACCACGGTGGTCTCTGCCACTCTGCCCCCCTTACTGGCAGCAGTGAGCTATGGAGAGCAGCCAGGCCACGCTCCCTTTAGTGATGGGACGTTGCCGTGGTTCTGTGCTGGGGGCTAAAATGTGCAGGCTTATGGGAAGGTGGGCAGGGCAGTCTGTCCACTTGACACGAACACTCCCTGAAACCCTCCCTCTGTGCACACCAAATGCCCGTGGTCTCCCATCCACTCAGCAAACGCCAGCTTGTGCTGGGCTCTGCCAAGGTAATGGGGGTCTGGAGCCGAGGTCACGGAGTCCCTGCCTTCAACGGGTCTAGTGAGGGGGCCTCTTGGTGAGTGGGGGTCCTGGGTCTCTCTGGAGCTCCTGGGAGGTGTCCTGAGGAGGTAGAAGGCAGAGCTCTGGGGGGCTGTGGGGGGCCGTGAATGGGAAGTACAGTCACATGGGGATGGGTCTGAGGAACAGGGACTGCAGGAGGACCATAAGGAGGGCTGGATGTGGATATGAGGGTGCAGTGGGGCTGGGGGGAGGGACCGTGGTGAAGGACACTCAGTGACATCCAACAGAGAAGCCATGCATGACGATGAGAGACCTCCTGGGCCCCTGCTGGACCCCTCCTCCCTCTGGCTGGATCTGGGACTGACCCTCCCAGGCCCCTGCCGGACCCTCCCTCCCTCTGGCTGGATCTGGGACTGACCATCCTGGTCCCGGGGCCGGGCATCCGTCTTCTTTATCACCCGGCAAAATCCCATCTGCCCACATCCCCCCCACTTTCTTGAAGCTTCAAAGTGTTCAGCCTTTCAGCCACTTTTTACAAAAATTTAAAATCACTTCTATAACTAGCTCTCTTTTAAACTAATTTCTAAAAGGTGTGTTTAGGCTGTAGTTAAGGGAAAAAAAAAGAAAAAGTAGAAAAAAGAAAGAAAAGAAGCAGCTTCTCCCTGGCCTGGTAGCTCCTAGGTTCTGGCCACTTCCTGGAAAACAGTAATTACCACACGTCTCACCAACCACATCACACCACTATCCACGCAATGGTGATCATTTCCTTCCTCTCACTGAGAGCTGCATGGCACACACAGCCTCTGTATCTAACAGAGAAATGCCACTGAGCAGAAATAGCAGCAGCTCTTTAATCCAAAATGTTACTACTATGAATTTAGGTAAGTTCTCGGCACCTGAGAGTTCTGGAAAGTACTGAAATTAAGGTTTTTATCACATATGGGCCAGACACACACACATACACACACACACACACACACAAATTGAGATGTCTGGAAAAGTTATACCCTGGTACCTGATACCCTGTGCCAAGAAAAAAAATTCCCTTTTGAGCCACCGTGTCTCCACAGGGTCACTGCACGCGTGGTTCCAGTGGGCAGATTTCCAGCCCAAAAGAGGAAAAGGGAGGGGGGAAATGTCTCCTGCGGCAGCCACGGCTGAGGATGAGGGTCGGCTGGGCCTCATCACTGCTCTGCTTGGCTCAGGTTGCCTGGCACCAAATTGTCAGTTAAGCCATTCAAGTCCAAATGATAAAAAAGCAAAGCCCACTCTGTGGATTAGTAAAGAGTCTAATATTTTATTTTACTGTCGGTTTGACCCCTCTGACTATTTCTCCATGTGGGTCAAGAGCACACTTGACTTCAACCTAAACGCTCCAACACGAATATGGTTAATTTATTACTCAAAATGCAAAGTATGTCAGACAGCACAAGCAGACGGCGCTGTCACGATGGATGCAACCGGCTTTCGCCCACGGTGCCCGCCTCATGACTCCCACGGCCTCTGCTGTAACGTTGGGAGTCTCTCTCTGACCTCCCACTCCGTTCACTGCTCCTTTCTCTCCCCAAGGCAGGGACCTTTCCCGGCCTTTCTGTCATGGCGTTGGCCATAAAGACATTCTCTGACCCACCTTTCTCATTGTGAGTCCCAAAACCCTCACCCCAGAGGGTCCTACCTCACGCCCCTGAGGAAGAAACGCGGCACAGAGGGGCCGGGAAGAGTCTGAACACATAGGCCTTGCTAGTTTCCACCCTTGGTCTGCTAGCAACACAGAGCGCAGCGACTTTCTCCAGTCCCATTTCCACACGGCTGTCTGAGCCTCAGTCACGCCCATCCAGTGGAGTCTCCACAAAACGCCCTAGCACTGGGATCGGGGTTTTTGTGGAGCTTCCAGACACCTGAACCCGTGGAGGTTCCTGGAGGGTGGTGCCCTGGGAGGCACAGAAACTCCATGCCCCTTCCCTTGCTCATCTCTTCACCTGTATCCTTTATAATAAACCACCAAACATGGGTGCTTCCCAGAGTTCTGGGAGCCACTCTAGCAAATTAATGGAACCCCACGCCCCTTCCCTCTGCTCATCTCTTCATCTGTCCCCTTCCCTCTGCTCATCTCTTCCCTTCGCTCTGCTCATCTCTTCATCTGTCCCCTTCCCTCTGCTCATCTCTTCCCTTCGCTCTGCTCATCTCTTCATCTGTATCCTTTATAATAAACCACCAAACATGGGTGCTTCCCAGAGTTTCGGGAGCCACTCCAGCAAATGAATGGAACCCACGTGTGGGGGGCTTGCAGGAGCCTCGGTTTACCACTGGCTGGTTAGAAGCTCCTGGAGCTTGTGATCAGCATCCAAAGTCGTGGGTGGTCTTGGGGACCCAGCCCTCCCCCTGTGGGACCTGAGGTTCCCGCCAGGTGAATGTGCTGAATTAGGGGATCCCTGGCTGGTGACCCCTGCAGAGCTGGTCACCTGCTGGGTGGTGGGGAGAAGCCCCCAACATTTGGTCATCGAAGTCTCCTGTGTTGGTTGCTGTTGAGTGAGAAAATAGAAAAACCACTGTGGTGTGTTTTCCCTCACATGGTTTGTGCTTTTTCTCTACTCAGATACTACTTTTTTTTTGTGAAGAGTGATTCTATGTCCTCCTCTGAAACTCTTGCATAGGAAGGTCAGCTTCTGATATGATAATGATCATCCTGCTGCAATCTGATGGCCTCTCTACGTCCCGGTGCTTCGCTGGAGGCCAGGACGGTGAGGCGTGAGGCAGTGAGCCCTTCTGGCCCCCAAGGTCACTTTCAGCATGGAGAATGAAAGGTGAGGGACGTGTCTCCAGCCCCTGACAGCTCTTCCTGGCCCTGTCTCCCCTCTATCTGCCTTCAGTCATTGGAGACAGTGACTAGCTGCCTGGGAGCTCAGCAGGAAGGGAGCTGTCCTGGAAGAGAGCCGTCCTGGAAGGGAGTCGTCCTGGAAGGGTATTGTCCTGGAAGGGTGCTTTCCTGGAAGGGTGCCGTCCTGGAAGGGAGCTGTCCTGGAAGGTGGCTTTGGGGATGGTGACTTACTGCCTGGGAGCTCAGCTGGAAGGAAGCCAGCCTGAAAGGGAGCTGTCCTGGAAGGATGCCATTCCGGAAGGGTGCCATCCTGGAAGGGCGTTGTCCTGGAAGGGTGCCGTCCTGGAAGGGTGCCGTCCTGGAAGGGCGTTGTCCTGGAAGGGTGCCATCCTGGAAGGGCGTTGTCCTGGAAGGGTGCCGTCCTGGAAGGGAGCCGTCCTGGAAGGGTGTCGTCCTGGAAGGGAGCCGTCCTGGAAGGGTGTTGTCCTGGAAGGGAGCTGTCCTGGACGGGTGCTGTCCTGGAAGGGAGCTGTCCTGGATGGGTGCTGTCCTGGAACGTGGCTTTGGGGACAGTGACTTGCCTGGGAGCTCAGCTGGAAGGAAGCTCTTCAGGAAGGCGGCTGTTGCGACATTCAGTGAATTCTGTTGATTTCCCTTTTTTTCCCATGATACTTTGGTCTTTTTCTTCCAGGTTTCAGCTCCTTCCTCAGTTGTTATGTGCCTGATATTTTTCCTCTTCCCTCAGGACAACTGTGAAAGCTCCACGTGTCCCAGGAGCGCGTGCAGCTCCCTGGAAGGCCCAGGTCACAAGATGGAAAGAAAACCCCAGCAGAGCTTGTGAATCAGCTCAAACCACACCATCGCCTCCACAGCTCCTGAAGCCCTCGTGGCTGCACCTGCTCGCCCACCCCGTGCTCCAGGCCCATCTGACGGAGGAGGGCCTGGGCCGCTCACACCATGTTCAACGTGGCCAGTGCCTGGTCAGCAAGTCTGTTTTCACGAATGCTTGCTGGGAAATGCAAGTGAGATTTGGGTATCCCGACCGCCTCCTGGATGGGATTGCTTTGTTTGACACATGTTCAGAACTCAGGCTTAAACCACTGGACCCCTCAACGCGAGGCCGGACCAGCTCGGGGCCACCCGGGGCAGGAGCGTCCTGGGAACAGGACCCTGAGCCAACCATACCCGAGGCTGCCTGACCCTGGCTTTGGACGGTGGGTTCGAAGGGAGTTCCTGGGGAGCATGGGTGGTCCCTGGACACACTACATAGCCATGCTGGGTTCTCTCTGAGTGGCTTTCTCTGTCAGTTCATCATATGTATTTTATGACACACGTAACGCAGTTGCTCCCACTATTTCATCAATAACCAAAACCAGCACAAACGCTGGGGCCGCTTGTCTCATCAGCACCTTCCCTGATCTTTTTCTTTTGTTTTTTTGAGACAGATTCTTGCCCTGTCACCCAGGCTGGAGTGCAATGGCATGATCTCAGCTCACTGCAGCCTCCATCTCCTGGATTCAAGCGATTCTCCTGCCTCAGCCTCCCGAGTAGCGGGGATTACGGGCACACACCACCACGCCAGGCTAATTTTTGTATTTTTAGTAGAGATGGGGGCTCACCATTTTGGCCCAGCTGGTCTTGAACTCCTGACCTCAAATGATCCACCCGCCTCAGACTCCCAAAGTGCTGGGATTACAGGCGTGAGCCACTACGCCTGGCCCACTTGAACTTTAATTTTACTTCCAACTTCTCATGGAATGGGATGAGGGCAACATGTGTTTGAGCCATTTGCTGGGAAGTAACATTTCCTTCTTGAACTAATCGTTTCAGATAAAATAGATCCTAGAAATCAGAAGCCGCCGCCGTGTGGGGGCCTGAGGGCTGCTGTATCTCACGGAGATGAGGCTTGTTCAGGAGGCATCCCTGGCCTCTGCGGGGGGACGTGGCTCCCTGGGCCTGAGATGGTACATTCCTGGTCCCTTCCCCTTCCCCAGCCACCCACGCTGGCAGCCTGAGTCCTGGAGGCTGAGCTACTGCAGGATGACCGAGTGCGGGAGGAACTGAACTAATTCCCATCCACCCAAGGTAGCCACAGTCCCGTGACAGCAGCACCTTCTCCCAACCTGAACACCGCCCTTCTCCCTCCTCCTGGCCACCAAATCAGCGACTGCACCCAGCCCACGTGACAGCAGCACCTTCTCCCAACCCAAATGCCACCCTTCTCCCTCCTCCTGGCCACCAAATCAGCGACTGCACCCAGTCCTGTGACAGCAGCAGCTTCTCCCAACCCGAATGCCACCCTTCTCCCTCCTCCTGGTCACTGAATCAGCGACTGCACCCAGTCCTGTGACAGCAGCACCTTCTCCCAACCCAAATGCCACCCTTCTACCTCCTCCTGGTCACTGAATCAGCGACTGCACCCAGTCCTGTGACAGCAGCACCTTCTCCCAACCTGAACGCCACCCTTCTCCCTCCTCCTGGCCACCAAATCAGTGACTGCACCCAGCCCACCTGACAGCAGCACCTTCTCCCAACCCAAATGCCACCCTTCTCCCTCCTCCTGGTCATCGAATCAGCGACTGCACCCAGTCCTGTGACAGCAGCACCTTCTCCCAACCCAAATGCCGCCCTTCTCCCTCCTCCTGGCCACCAAATCAGCGACTGCACCCAGCCCACGTGACAGCAGCACCTTCTCCCAACCCAAATGCCACCCTTCTCCCTCCTCCTGGCCACCGAATCAGCGACTGTGCCCAGCCCACGTGACAGCAGCACCTTCTCCCAACCCAAATGCCACCCTTCTCCCTCCTCCTGGTCACCGAATCAGCGACTGCACCCAGTCCTGTGACAGCAGCACCTTCTCCCAACCTGAACGCCGCCCTTCTCCCTCCTCCTGGCCACCAAATCAGTGACTGCACCCAGCCCACGTGACAGCAGCACCTTCTCCCAACCCAAATGCCACCCTTCTCCCTCCTCCTGGTCACCGAATCAGCGACTGCACCCAGTCCTGTGACAGCAGCACCTTCTCCCAACCCAAATGCCGCCCTTCTCCCTCCTCCTGGCCACCGAATCAGCGACTGCACCCAGCCCACGTGACAGCAGCACCTTCTCCCAACCCAAATGCCACCCTTCTCCCTCCTCCTGGCCACCGAATCAGCGACTGTGCCCAGCCCACGTGACAGCAGCACCTTCTCCCAACCCAAATGCCACCCTTCTCCCTCCTCCTGGTCACCGAATCAGCGACTGCACCCAGTCCTGTGACAGCAGCACCTTCTCCCAACCTGAACGCCGCCCTTCTCCCTCCTCCTGGCCACCAAATCAGTGACTGCACCCAGCCCACGTGACAGCAGCACCTTCTCCCAACCCAAATGCCACCCTTCTCCCTCCTCCTGGCCACCGAATCAGCGACTGCACCCAGTCCTGTGACAGCAGCACCTTCTCCCAACCCAAATGCCACCCTTCTCCCTCCTCCTGGCCACCGAATCAGCGACTGCACCCAGTCCTGTGACAGCAGCACCTTCTCCCAACCCAAATGCCGCCCTTCTCCCTCCTCCTGGCCACGAAATCAGCGACTGCACCCAGCCCACGTGACAGCAGCACCTTCTCCCAACCCAAATGCCGCCCTTCTCTCTCCTCCTGGCCACTGAATCAGCGACTGTGCCCAGCCCACGTGAGAGCTGCTGATTTTGGTTTATGGAGGCAGAAACCCAGGCCAGGCTTTCCAAACTCAGTTCTGTCCAAATGGTACCCTTGTGTTTATGCTCTGGAGAGAGTCCTTTCTGATCCCTACCGACCCAAAGACTTGTGTGGAAATTATACTGAATAAAACCCACTGGCCACCCAGATGAGTAGGGCTGGTCTCCAGGTTTGTATATTGCAGTCTTTACCCATAAAGTATCTTCTCTGATTAGTAAAAACCATTCTTTACTCTTGATTCCAACCCAAAGTCTCCAAAGAGACTGTGCCACAAAACAAATTATGAGTTATCTCTTTAAAGTTGAGAAAATGTTACCCCCATCTAATATATAAAAAATGCACAAGAAATTATCTGTCTTCCTGCAAAAAAGAATCAAATTTTACAATTCTATCAATGAAAAACCTGTCACGAAAACCATCAGTGAAGAGACCGTCGAGTCACCATGCTCTGCTGTGATCCACTGTGGCTCCAGGAAGGCAGCCGTGACAGAGGGGAAGGAGAGGCGTCCCCTGCTCTGCTGGCTTCATCAGTAAAGCGACATGTTAATCTTCAAGGGGTTGTGTTGAGGACGACACGAAATCAGCTGATTAAAGTCCTAGCCAGCATCTGACACATTGAATTTACTCCACAGATATCTGTTCACAACATCAGAGCCCGTGGTTTAGTTTCTTCATAGTAAATTAAAACAAAATAGTCATAAGACACAAGTTCGATCATAAGCCACTTGTACACAGAGAACATGGCTCTGTTGTATTGGAGCAAGTGGTCTTCAGTGGAGGATTATTTCACAATGACAGGCTCAATTCTTAGGCTTATGTAGCTCCATGTTTCAAAGGAAGCATGGTGTGGACAGAAGCCCGGGGCCGCAGAACCGAGTCCGGCCACATGCCAGCGTCCTTCCTGCTCACGCTGCACGTGTTCTTGACATGGGATGGGTGTTCTCATGGTCCCTCTGTCAATTCCAGAACGTGAAAAGGTTTACTGACTTCATTCCATTACATAAAAACACCCGAGGTCCCGAACCTCTGTGAGTACTTTTTGCCCTGTGGGAGGCTGAGGTGGGTGGATCACTTGAGATCAGGAGTTTGAGACCAGCCTGACCAACATGGTGAAACCCTGTCTCTACTAAAAACACAAAAATTAGCCGGGCGTGGTGGTGCGCACCTGCAATTCCCGCTACTCGGGAGGCTGACACAGGATAATTGCTTGAACCTGGGAGGCAGAGGTTGCAGTGAGCCAAGATTGTGCCACTGCACTCCAGCATGGGTGACAGAACAAGACTCCATCTCAAAAAAAAAAAAAAAAAAAGAAAACAACAGAATTTAAAATGCCAGAGAGGGTGCTGGATGATCCTGACAGCTCTGTGAGTGCTCTAGGCCTGCTCCCATTTCCTACATATGTGCAATTAATCAATTTTATAAACAATACATGCTTGGTATTGCAGTTAATTTGAAGAAGAAATGAGCCCAAGCCCATTTAAAGTTTTCCTGACAGTGACAAACAAGCGTGCATGGAATAGAACATCTTTCAAGCATTCCTCAGTTGCAATATTAATTATGGATAATGAATATCATGACAAGTGACAATCTCTGAACGTGGCGCTTAAAATATTAACATGCTCAGCAGAATAGGGTGACCCCTGGGGCCTATGCATGTA
This sequence comes from Homo sapiens, assembly GCF_000001405.40. NCBI lineage: Eukaryota > Metazoa > Chordata > Mammalia > Primates > Hominidae > Homo > Homo sapiens. The sequence continues at coordinate 164,867 of NT_187565.1, read as the reverse complement.
AACCAGCTGGCTGTCACTCCTGTCTGGGACGCACGCTGGTCTTGTAGGGTGACACCTCAGGTATATGCATGTAAACCAGCTGGCTGTCACTCCTGTCTGGGACGCACGCTGGTCTTGTAGGGTGACCCCTGGGGTCTACGCATGTAAACCAGCTGGCTGTCACTCCTGTCTGGGACGCACGCTGGTCTTGTAGGGTGACCCCTGGCGTCTACGCATGTAAACCAGCTGGCTGTCACTCCTGTCTGGGACGCACGCTGGTCTTGTAGGGTGACCCCTCAGGTATATGCATGTAAACCAGCTGGCTGTCACTCCTGTCTGGGACGCATGCTGGTCTGTAGGGTGACCCCTCGGGTAGATGCATGTAAACCACCTGGTTGTCACTCCTGTCTGGGACACACACTGGTCTTGCACATTGGTGGGAAAGATGCTGAGTGGCCAGAGGCCCTAGCACAGCCTACAGAGCCCCATATCATGGGGACGCCCGACCCTGCTCTCTGTCCTGGGACACCCTGTGCGGCTGCCTTCTCCCACTCCTGTTTTCATGTCTGGATGCAGAGAAAACTCCCTGTGTTCTCTCAAAGCCGACACATCCTAGGTGGGTCCTGAAGGCTGTGTGCAAACCCTGTCTTCCCCAGGGAAGGCTGCTCTGAGCCCTGTCCTGCAACCTGAAGCCACACGCAGGTCTGTGCTGCTGGAGGCTCAGAGATTGTTTTGAGTTTGATAAAAAACCATAGACACATTTACACACCACTTTGCAGAAATTTGTAGGGTTTCATGAACTCCCTGAAGTCTGAACCATTATTCATGATGCCAGGTAACAATGCCTGTCTAAATATGTCAGGTTGAACCATAGGAAGATGGCATTTGTGAAGGTCAAAAACAGTGAAGTATCAGTCATCTCATCTGACTCAACACAATAAAAGGCCAGGTATGATACATGTTAGAATAACTTCTACCTGAAGGCATAAAACACAGTAAAAGGTTTTATCCTTACTGTGGGGAAGGTGCTCAGTTATTCAGAATACTAAACTAACTTCAATGACCAGAATTTTAAAAACTCAAAAATTTTGTGTTTCCAAACATGCTGCAGGAAGGCAACATAGAAGATCTTATTAAGATCAGACAACAGAGGCTGGGTGTGGTGGCTCATGCCTGTAATCCCAGCACTTTGGGAGGCCGAGGCGGGTGGATCACGAGGTCAGGAGATCAAGACCATCCTGGCCAACATGGTGAAACCCCGTCTCTACTAAAAACACATACAAAAAATTATATACATATACATATATATATATATAATTATATATACACACATATAAAAAATTATATATATATATATATATATATATATATATATATATATGATCAGAGAACAGAGACAATTGACAGGAGTTTAGCTTTTATAATTTCCCTGCATCATAGTTTAAAGGAATTTCATGAGCTGCAGAAATGTGCATGCCCTTGAAAATAGAATTAACAAAGAAAATGACAAGTAGTGAGTTGCGTGACTCTGCAGACAACAGCTATTTGTTGCCATCACTGAGGCATCCTGGAGGGAGGAAGGGCAACCTTCTGGGGGAGGCGTGGGACGGGGGAGGTGTGTGGGGCTACAATATTTGGCTTTCATGAAGGAAGTTATGCTTTGCATTAGAGGGAAGAGAAATATGGCAATTAACATAGTGAGGAAAAATTGCCTGTAAGAAAGATACCATTTTTAGTAAATACCAGATATCAGTTTATTTCAAAATGAAGCTGGTTTGCGAAGAACCATCTGTCTTATCAGAATTAAAGTTTCAACTTGCTGCCATCAGCTTGTCCTATTAGTATTCAAAGTAGATTTCTGGGCTACTAGTTAAGGATACAAACCTATGTTTCTAGGAGACCGAGTATAGATAAATATGCTGGAATACATTTCTCAGTAAATTTCTTACGGCATACACAGCCTCCAGGAAAACTCAGAGTTTCATTTTAGAGCAGGAGCAGGAACAATGAAGAAATCTAGTGGAGACGTTTGTTTTCTCTCTGCAACCATTTCTGTGGTTGCCAGCCATCGAACACGTCGATGAATTATGACTATAACTTGAGAACAACCCCTTGGAGTTAGATCTTGTAAAAATGTAGATAAGCAAAACAAATAAAATGGGATGAAAACGAATACACAAAAGGCCTACTCCAACATATTTCATCTGCTTGAATATAGGATACACTGAAAAATCTTGCAACTCCAATAAAATAGGAGTCTTTTATCAAATCACTAGGGGCACGGAGGGAACAAAGATGACCACATTGAAATGAAGCCCTGTGATCTGCAGGCCCAGAGCCAAGCAGCCCTCTGAACTCGGGAAAGGCTAATTGCAGGCCTGGGCGCCAGCGCTCATTAGTGTGCTGTGATGTGTTGTCACTGAGAGACCGCTCGGGGCCGGAGGGCAGGCACCGGGCTCATCGGCATCACAGAGCTCCCTGGCAAAACCGATTTCACCAGTGCACAGCCTGCTGACGTCCAACGACCAGAGTGCAGGCACCCGGGCTCACGGCATCACAGAGCTCCCTCGCAAAACCAATTTCACCAGTGCACAGCCTGGCACAGCCTGCTGACGTCCAACGACCGGGGCCTTCAGCGTTTGCTGGTTACCAGTCACATAAGGATCCTAGACAACTCTTCAACAATCGGTCTCATTTTATTTTTCTAATGATGCAATTTGTGTTTCTCTGGTGACACTTTTTCATTAATTAAATTGCTTAGTTTGCTGCAAAAAGGTGATGCTTCTGATAATAATTTTTACAAACCAGTTTTTACTATGAAATGGGCCTTTTCTGGGACCACATTATCACAATCCTTGGATTATGATTCAGCAGATTCTTGATCCGCTGTGTGCAAGCAGCAAAGGAGACACCAAAGTCAATTTTGAATCATTATGTGATTGCCTTGAAAATGCTTTGATGTTTAGATACACGGCACCATTAGTCAGGAAGACGACAGAATTTCGGTCATATTTAAAGGGCGTGATGAATACGTACAGGGTGGCAGCCTGGGAGAAGCGTGTGTGTAGAAACATTCTGTAACCCACAATGCTGCCAATGAGGAAGGCAGCGTGCAGCACACTCGGTGTTTGGCAGAGAGACTAGGGCGTCCTGTTTGCAAAATGCTGCAGAATCCGCAGCTTTCTTAGGAAAGAGGTGGCTCAAAAACCGGCATGAACTCACTCCTGAGTTCAACGCGACATGGGAGTCAAGCTTTGATCCATCGAAAGCTGCTGGGAGGGACCCAGGAGTTGGCCAACAACAGATTCCTCAGAATCCAATCAGCGAGCGGCCATCGGGCTGGTGTGCATCATGGGGCATCAGGTCTTTTTAAGACAAGATGATGTGTAATGGGTCTGACCACATGCTGGGGGCCTCGGATCCAGCCTCTCAGTCATGTTGATTGATTTCGTGCCGGGCAGAGGCCGAGACAGTGAACAAGACAGACCGACCGCCTGCCGTCCTGGAGTCTGTGGTCTGCCTGGAACGCTGCAGCCTTGCTGATGGGAGGAGGTGGTGCCTTCCGCACACTCACTCAGTGGCATGATGCAGCTGGGGTGAGGGTCAGGAAGTGCCTCTGGAGGATGCGACGCTTAATTAATATATAAATGGGGGGCGTGGATGTGACGCTTAATTAATATATAAATGGGGGGCGTGCCCCTGGCAGTGGGACTGGCCCTGGGCTGAGACAGCAGGACAAGCTCAAAGATGAGGTGCGCTCCGCCTCCACCGAGGCTGCAAGGAAAAGCAAAAGGTCCTGGCAAGCCTCTGTGTGTCAGGCGGACTGACTTCCTCCTCTCAGCCCTGCTCAGGCGTGAAGGACACGGGCAAAGCTGTCTAGGCTCAGGCCCGAATGTTGACATCTTCCTTTCAGCTCTCTCCCCGACAGCTGAGTCCTGACAGACCAGGGTCCCCCTGGGACCCCGAGGGGCAGGGGGACTCATGTGGACTTCAGTCTGCAGCGGCCTTGGCCCCACCATCGGGAAACCCCACCTGCAGGCAGGCAGCTCCAGAGGGGCCCTGCCCCAGCGCATGAGAATCAGTGCCTGAGATGGGCGGGACCCACCTGCACCTGCACCTGACTGGGCGTCCACGTGGAGCGCTGTGACCTTGAGCACTCACTGACTTGATGCCAGCATCTCCCTCTGGGCTTTAGACGGGCTCTCAGACCAGCCGCTCACAGGGTTGCCATGAGCTCATTACATTGCTCAAACCACCCCTCACGGCAGCCAAGGAGCTGATGATGTGTCTGGAACCTTCCTTGCATCCGGTATCCCCCCCTCCCCAGACCCCCAAGATGTAGCTGACAGTGCTCACGGGTGGCTGTGCCTTACCATGGGTGAATGTGTGGAAACTGGGGGCCCGATGGGCGGGGAAGCTCAGAGGTGGCTGTTCTTCCTGTCCTGGCCATCAGGTCATCCTGTCTGCATGACGGGAGGGTGGGCCACAGGACCACCAAAGGCCCTAACCTTCCATCATCCTGATGGGGTATCGAAGGTCTGAGTGCTCAGTGGGGGTCTCTGGGCCACTGACTTTATTCCTTTTCTACCTGCCTGTTCTGTGACTAGGATGCTGCTCATGACCTTGAACCACAAAACAGATATCTCAGCCCTCAAGCTGAACTCCCTTAGAGAAAAAGTGAAGTCAAAAATGTCCTTTGAGTTTTTGGAAATATCCAGCCCCTGGAATGGAGCTCGGAAATGTAAAGGGATCTTAATGGAGATGAATCTTGGCTTTCCTTGCAATGAACACTCACATTGGTCGATTTCAACCCACCCAGGAGGAAGCAGTGTTTTCTGCTCCTCTCCTCCAGGGGTGGGTTTCTGGTTCGAGTCACCACTACAGTTGCTGTGCCAGAAAGACCTGCCCTCCCCTCTGTGAAGTTGCCAGCAGGAACACCCTTGCCCTCAAACTCACGCAGGGACGGTAGTTTCAGTGTAGAGAAAAGATAAAAAAAAAAAACGTTACAGAGGAAGAAAAACCTCACTGTGTTCAGACTGCCATGGATGCTACTGTTCAGCAGCTGGGAAAGCTGGCAGTGGAACTCGGCCACCTCCCAAGTGGGGACGCTGTGGATGAAACCTTACGGGGACATCCTGCCGGGCGGCTGTGGACGTGCTTGTCACACAGACATACACACACATCCACAGAGGGTTTGCGAAGACCCGAACCCCATCCCCAGCCCAGAAAACATTCTCAAATCTCTTTGCATGTGGTTTCCATGGCTTCATCGTGCCTCAGATTTCAACTTTGCGATCTGTCATTCAACAGTGTTAACTTTCCACTCTGCCTTTCAGCGGATCCCACTGCCTGGCAGGAGGCCACGCCAGCCGACATCGCCTGCGCCACACGCCACATCTGGCTTTGTATCTGTGCACATGTCCACATTCCAAGACATGCAAAACCCCAAAGACAAAAATATCTCAGAGCATCTGAATATCCAGTTTCCATGGAGACTGAAATCAAAGTGAGCTGTCTAATGAGGGGGCGTTTTTCTTCATAATTCTTGCATGATGCCTTATGGGTTGGGAGTATGTTGAAACTCCTGCTGGTTACTATTCCAAACACATTTTCTAATAGGCAAGTGCATACTCTCGTGAGAAGAGTTGATGGGGCGGATTCTCCCGCTTCTCAGGCCCAGGTAGAGAGTTCGGCTGGGTGGATGGTGGTGTTGCAGGCACAGGTTGAATTATGCTTCTTGCAAGGGACCCCAAGAGACGTTCTGTAAGGTGTCACCAAACTCAGTTTGCAAATGACTGCACTCAAGAATAATCCACTTAAATTCTGGGTGTTTCACTCAGAATACATAATGATTTTCAATGCAGCCACGCCAACACTCCAGCATACACTCCGTTCTCTCTGTTAGGTATGGAATAATTAGGTCGACCCTAACAATAACCTACTTAAGAAGGTAAATTTCATTATGGGCTGTCTTTCTTTCTCAGACACTTGTGAAAGTACTCAAGAAGATAAATATGATGAAGGAAAAATACTTTTTCTCCCACTTGGTGACAGTCACACACCTCCCCAGGCTCCTCCTGCTTCTCCCCAGCCTGACCGGCCAGCACGGCCCATTCCCGTCTCCGTCCCAGCTCCGAGAACTGTGTGCCTAAGACCTTCCATCCTGGGCTCAGTAGGCCACCCCAGCCCTCTGCCCAGCGCGCTCCAATACCTGCGACGTTCCCCTTCCTGGCATCTCAGCTCCCGAGCAGTCTCCTCTACAAGGGATTTCTCTTCTGGTCATTTGTGTCCATTTGCACCCCAGAGAAATGTCTAACCCTTCACAGATGGCACTCAGTGTGTCTTCCTTTGAATTGTGGACTTCTCACGTCTCCTTCCCATCCATAACACCTGCCGCCCGACAAGTATCAAACCCCCATGATCCACTGCATGGTGGGGGCTCACAGGCCTTCGTAATAGACCTGGCCACCCCCCTTTTACAAAAACAGAGACTCTTTAATGGGCACCGTCCTGAGACAATCTGGTTTCATAGGCTGGGATCCATAGACCTGCGTTTCTAAGAAGCTCGGGTCCCCAGAGATGCTGGTCTGGGAAACACCTGGAGAACCACTGACCCAGCCTGACCCCGGCTGCTGTGGAGGCGACAGCTCAGCTGCCCAGCGCAGAACCCGCACAGAGCCTTTGCTGATAATGTTTCGGCATCTCCTGCCTCCTAAGTGGTCTGTTTCCCTCCAGAATTCTCCATCTCCTCTTCCCTGTGTCCTGCCTCCACCCTTTGCCTGGCAATTTAAGCCGGGCCACTGGGCCTCCAGCTCTCCCCGGAGCGCCCAGTGTCCCACAAGCTCAGAAGCATCGGGCATCCTAGCGGCCCTGAGATGACCATATTCCATGTCCACTGGTGCTGAATGCATCTTCCATTTGTTCTCATTCTCCTTCCCCAGCTGGGGCTGATGAACCTGTCGCACGCATAGCCTCGGCTCAGGGCTGATGTTTGGTGCTGTTCCCACAGTCACCTCTGTCCTGTGCACACCTGTATGGAGGGTGCTTGGCCCTTCACTGTGCAACAGAGCGCCCAGCCACAGAACACCCAGCCACAGAACACATGGCCACAGAACACGCAGCCACAGAACACCCAGCCACAGAACACATGGCCACAGAGCACGCAGCCACAGAACATCCAGCCACGGGGCTATGCCTCAAACTGAGGCAGTGTCTTGACAGACAGCTGGAAGACACGGCCCTGGCATGCATGTGTTCGCTACAACCATGCCCAGTGGCAAATTCACAGATGGCTCAGATCCGGATGCCTCGGTTGTGTGCTGCCCAGGATGGGACATCGGCAGAAACCGCAGTTCCGGTTCTCTTAACTAGATTTTGTTGTCGTTTTAAGAGTCAGATATGGGAGTGGTGGACAGATAACACGGAAGAGAGCAGGGTGTGGGGCCTGGGCCGTGTGTGTGGGAGCCCGTGAGCTCTGGTGGAGGGAACAGGATGGTTTGGGTACATTAGTGATGATCGCAGCGAATGTGGGCCAGCTACCTAGTGGGATATCCGGACGTTGGGAGAATGTTGTGGCCTCAGGAAGATGTGGGAGTCGTTACTGTGGAGGGAGCTCCTGGACATAGATGGAGTTGCTGAGGCGGAGGCAGCATGAGGCTGTGTGATGGCTGAGAAGGGGCTGCTGGGGACCTCAGTTTTCGATGTGGGGAGGGAAGAGGAGCCGGCAACAGAGGCGGAGGGAAGCCAGGAGGGGACATGTGATGGAGGCGGAACAGGTACCTCGGATTTGATGAGGCCAGAGGCGATGCTGAGGTGGGGAAGGATTAAGGCGGTTTATGGGACCAGGGGTGGTGCTGAGGTAGGGAAGGATCAAGGCGGGACAGGGACCCTGGCACCAGCGCCCTTTCAGAGCGTGCTGGGCTGATGGATGTGATAAAGCTTCAAGCAAACCTCAGGTCTGGCAGGAGGTGGCTGGAGGACTCACTCATGCATGCAACCTGGAGGCACTTGGACAGGGAAAGGGGTGCCGGCCTTGGCTGCCTCCTCCCCCAGGGACTGAGTCTGGGGAGTCAGCTGAGTTTTAGTGGTGTAGTTATGTAGGATGTTAGTTACGCTGCAACAGGCCTGTTCCTTCTTCAGGTGTAGAAGGAGGAACCAGGCTCCAAATATGGCCTGCATGCAGCAGCACTGGCAGCGGCGGAACATGCTGGAAAGGTGTGACTCCAGTCCCACCCATGGCCCACAGAACGGGAATCCACTAAGTAGGATATGTGTTACTCATGTAACTTTAAAACCACCGTAGGGACCACAGGAGCTCTGCCAAGTGAGCCAGTGATGCCCTGGAATTCGGTGACCCTGGGACTCCCTTGTCACTGGCGCCCTTACGAGGTATGATGCATTTCCAAATAGAGAAATTATACAAAGAGAAGCAACATAAAAAGTGTTTCACTAAGCAATTCATAGAGGACTGTTTATTACGGTGTCTCTTTTAAAATAAATATTATGATTTTGTTCTTTACCAGAACAAATACCTTCTAAATATTTGCCCAAATAGTACTTTTCTGTCTCCCAGGCTTGGGAACGTTGAGCGCAGAGACATAGCCATGCTGCGTGGAGGACGGTGCCTGTCGCTTGGCCCCCTCCTCATCCCAAGGCCCTGGGGACATAGGCCATTTAGAACCACAGTGTCACATAATTGCAGAGTGGGAATGATGGGGGGGAAGACAAAGTTTGGAAAGGAAAAAAGGTAGGCAGGAGGAAGTAGCCCTGGGGCCATGGTTCACAGAAAGGCGAGTCCTGCCAGCCCCGCAGTGCCTTAATTATGGATGTGTCCTCACAGCTCCGCCTCAGCCACCGAGGCCGCCCACCTCATCTTCACCCTCACAGCTCAGCCTCAGCCACAGCCACCGAGGCCGCCCACCTCGTCTTCACCCTCACAGCTCAGCCTCAGCCACCGAGGCCGCCCACCTCATCTTCACCCTCACAGCTCAGCCTCAGCCACCGAGGTCGCCCACCTCGTCTTCACCCTCACAGCTCCGCCTCAGCCACCGAGGCCGCCCACCTCGTCTTCACCCTCACAGCTCCGCCTCAGCCACCGAGGCCGCCCACCTCGTCTTCACCCTCACAGCTCCGCCTCAGCCACCGAGGCGGCCCACCTCGGTCTTCACCCTCAGAGCTCTGCCCGAGGCACCAGGGCCGCCCACCTCGTCTTCACCCTCAGAGCTCCACCTCAGCCACGGAGGCCGCCCACCTCGTCTTCACCCTCACACGCCGCTACAGTCACAGCCACCGAGGCCGCCCACCTCGTCTTCACCCTCACACGTCCGCCTCAGCCACCGAAGCCGCCCACCTCGTCTTCACCCTCACAGCTCCGCCTCAGTCACCGAGGCCGCCCACCTCGTCTTCACCCTCACAGCTCCGCCTCAGCCACCGAGGCCGCCCACCTCGTCTTCACCCTCACAGCTCCGCCTCAGCCACCGAGGCCGCCCACCTCGTCTTCACCCTCACAGCTCCGCTACAGTCACAGCCACCGAGGCCGCCCACCTCGTCTTCACGGCAGCCCAGTGCAGCACGGCTCCTTCTCTGCGGCCCTTGGTGCCTCTCCCATTCGCATCCTGCATCCTTACAGCAAGGCTTGTCCTGGCAGCTGGTGTCATCTGCACACCCCCTGCTCCCACCTTCTGCTGAAGCCTTGACCTTTCCAAGTGTGGCCCAGGGACCCTCAGCCTCAGCATTGCCCGTTCAGAATGCAGAGTGCCAGGCCCACCCTGGAGCTCAGGAACGGGGTCTGGGTGCAGACAGGACTCAGTGGCTGTGGTGCCTGGAAGCCAGCAGCTTGGCTGTGAGAGCCTCTGACATCCCAGGTCCATGCCCGCTGGTGCCGTCCCGTCCCACTGCTCTTCCCAAAACGCTGAGCTCTACTCCCAGCTCTGTCAAACTCGAGTCCCCCTGGAAGCTCCAGCCCCAAGACAACTCTGAGAGAATTCCTGCAGCTGCCTGGGCTGGACTAAGCATGCCTGCCCATGCCCCAGTGACCCTTCACTCTTTAGTCCATCATGGCCCGACCCTGTCTCAGAACAATTACCCCGGAATCACCAGGGTGAGGACTTCATTGGTACGTGTAAAAACCTCCCTGGCAATAGGAGGCTCAGCTGGGCTGAGAACTGTGCTGTGTGGTCAGCGTGATCATATAAGTGACTTTCCCCATCAGGGGAAGATGAGAGGAAAGAGAACAGGAATTAATAATCATTAGGCCGGGATGACAGGCACGAGGCATTCCCAGAGCTGCTCTGGGGGGCCGGGATGTGCCGTCCCTGACCCGTGCTGAGCCTCCCCATCACAGCCTACAGCTCTCAGAACATGCGTCAGCTTTTAAACCAGACTTTGCGTGACCTAAGGACACAGACTTTGCTTCCTTGAAGGCCCAGCAGCGGCTGCATGTTTGACCCACTGTAGAGACATCTGAAATGTGACATGCTATTATGGGTCAGGATCAACATTAGAATCCAGGCTTTCTCCAAATCTTTCCATGGCCGGATCAGGGCAATGATTGATGTCATGCATTGATTTTTGCACGCAGTGAGGGGAACGGGAATGCAGAACAAAAATGTTGGGTCTCCAAGTGAAAAAAGTACATTTAAAAACAATAGCAAAGAACTATCAAAGTCTTCAAGATAGTTGCTCAGAAGTATTAAATTTATTTAGCCGTATTATTTTGTGGGTGATAGTGTTTGTTTGAGTACATAAGCAAGTGGACCTAATAGACATCTACAGAACTCTCCACCCCAAATCAACAGAATATACATTTTTTTCAGCACCACACCACACCTATTCCAAAATTGACCACATAGTTGGAAGTAAAGCTCTCCTCAGCAAATGTAAAAGAACAGAAATTATAACAAACTGTCTCTCAGACCACAGTGCAATCAAACTGGAAGTCAGGACTAAGAAACTCACTCAAAACCACTCAACTACATGGAAACTGAACCACCTGCTCCTGAATGACTACTAGGTACATAATAAAATGAAGGCAGAAATAAAGATGTTCTTTGAAACCAACGAGAACAAAGACACAACATACCAGAATCTCTGGGACACATTCAAAGCAGTGTGTAGAGGGAAATTTACCGCACTAAATGCCCACAAAAGAAAGCAGGAAAGATCCAAAATCAACACCCTAATGTCACAATTAAAACAACTAGAAAAGCAAGAGCGAACACATTCAAAAGCTAGCAGAAGGCAAGAAATAACTAAAATCAGAGCAGAACTGAAGGAAATAGAGACACAAAAAACCCTTCAAAAAATTAATGAATCCAGGAGCTGGTTTTTTGAAAAGATCAACAAAATAGATAGACTGCTAGCAAGACTAATAAAGAAGAAAAGAGAGAAGAATCAAATAGATGCAATAAAAAAAGATAAAGGGGATATCACCACCGATCCCACAGAAATACAAACTACCATCAGAGAATACTACAAACACCTCTACGTATATAAACTAGAAAATCTAGAAGAAATGGATAAATTCCTCAACACATACACTGTCCCAAGACTAAACCAGGAAGAAGTTGACTCTCTGAATAGACCAGTAACAGGCTCTGAAATTGTGGCAATAATCAATAGCTTACCAACCAAAAAAAGTCCAGGACCAAATGGATTCACAGCCGAATTCTACCAGAGGCACAAGGAGAAGCTGGTAACATTCCTTCTGAAACTATTCCAATCAATAGAAAAAGATGGAATCCTCACAAACTCATTTTATGAGGCCAGCATCATTCTGATACCAAAGCCGGGCAGAGACACAACCGAAAAAGAGAATTTTACACCAATATCCTTGATGAGCATTGATGCAAAAATCCTCAATAAAATACTGGCAAACCGAATCCAGCAGCACATCAAAAAGCTTATCCACCATGATCAAGTGGGCTTCATCCCTGGGATGCAAGGATGGTTCAACATATGCAAATCAATAAATGTAATCCAGCATATAAACAGAACCAAAGACAAAAACCACATGATTATCTCAATAGATGCAGAAAAGGCCTTTGACAAAATTCAACAACCTTCATGCTAAAAACTCTCAATAAATTAGATGGGATGTATCCCAAAATAATAAGAGCTATCTATGACAAACCCACAGGCAATATTATACTGAATGGGCAAAAACTGGAAACATTCTCTTTGAAAACTGGCACAAGACAGGGATGCCCTCTCTCACCACTCCTATTCAACCTAGTGCTGGAAGTTCTGGCCAGGGCAATTAGGCAGGAGAAGGAAATAAAGGGTATTCAATTAGGAAAAGAGGAAGTCAAATTGTCCCTCTTTGCAGACGACATCATTGTATATCTAGAAAACCCCATTGTCTCAGCCCAAAATCTCCTTAAGCTGATAAGCAACTTCAGCAAAGTCTCAGGATACAAAATCAATGTACAAAAATCACAAGCATTCTTATACACCAATAACAGGCAAACAGAGAGCCAAATCATGAGTGAACTCCCATTCATAATTGCTTCAAAGAGAATAAAATACCTAGGAATCCAACTTACAAGGGATGTGAATGACCTCTTTAATGAGAACTAAAAACCACTGCTCAATGAAATAAAAGAGGATACAAAGAAATGAAACAACATTCCATGATCATTGGTAGGAAGAATCAATATTGTGAAAATGGCCATACTGCCCAAGGTAATTTATACATTCAATGCCATCCCCATCAAGCTACCAATGACTTTCTTCACAGAATTGGAAAAAACTACTTTAAAGTTCATATGGAACCAAAAAAGAGCCCGCATCGCCAAGTCAATCCTAAGCCAAAAGAACAAAGCTGGAGGCATCACACTACCTGACTTCAAACTATACTACAAGGCAACAGTAACCAAAACAGCATGGTACTGGTACCAAAACAGAGCTATAGATCAATGGAACAGAACAGAGCCCTCAGAAATAATGCCACATATCTACAACCATCTGATCTTTGACAAACCTGACAAAAATAAGCAATGGGGAAAGGATTCCCTATTTAATAAATGGTGCTGGGAAAACTGGCTAGCCATATGTAGAAAGCTGAAACTGGATCCCTTCCTTACACCTTATACAAAAATTAATTCAAGATCGATTAAAGACTTACATGTTAGACCTAAAACCATAAAAACCCTAGAAGAAAACCTAGGCAATACCATTCAGGACATAGGCATGGGCAAGGACTTCATGTCTAAAACACCAAAAGCAATGGCAACAAAAGCCAAAATTGACAAATGGGATCTAATTAAACTCAAGAGCTTCTGCACAGCAAAAGAAACTACCATCAGAGTGAACAGGCAACCTACAAAATGGGAGAAAATTTTTGCAACCTACTCATCTGACAAAGGGCTAATATCCAGAATCTACAATGAACTCAAACAAATTTACAAGAAAAAAAGCAAACGACCCCATCAAAAAGTTGGTGAATGATATGAACAGACACTTCTCAAAAGAAGACATTTATGCAGCCAAAAACCACATGAAAATATGCTCATCATCACTGGCCATCAGAGAAATGCAAATCAAAACCACAGTGAGATACCATCTCACACCAGTTAGAATGGCAATCATTAAAAAGTCAGGAAACAACAGGTGCTGGAGAGGATGTGGAGAAATAGGAACACTTTTACACTGTTAGTGGGACTGTAAATTAGTTCAACCATTGTGGAAGTCAGTGTGGCAATTCCTCAGGGATCTAGAACTAGAAATACCATTTGACCCAGCCATCCCATTACTGGGTATATACCCAAGGGATTATAAATCATGCTGCTATAAAGACACGTGCACGCGTGTGTTTATTGCGGCACTATTCACAATAGCAAAGACTTGGAACCAACCCAAATGTCCAACAACGATAGACTGGATTAAGAAAATGTGGCACATATACACCATGGAATACTATGCAGCCATAAAAAATGAAGAGTTCATGTCCTTTGTAGGGACATGGATGAAACTGGAAACCACCATTCTCAGCAAATTATTGCAAGGACAAAAAACCAAACACTGCATGTTCTCACTCATAGGTGGGAATTGAACAAATTAGAAGACTTGGACACAGAAAGGGGAACATCACACTCTGGGGACTGTTGTGGGGTGGGGGGAGGGGGGAGGGATAGCATTAGGAGATATACCTAATGCTAAATGACGAGTTAATGGGTGCAGCACACCAGCATGGCACATGTATACATGTATAACAAACCTGCACATTGTACACATGTACCCTAAAACTTAGAGTATAATAATAATTAAAAAAAAAAAAAAAGAATGATCTGGCTGGGCGCGGTGGCTCATGCCTGTAATCCCAGCACTTTGGGAGGCCGAGGTGGGTGGATCACAAGGTCAAGAGATCAAGATCATCCTGGCTAACACGGTGAAACCCTGTCTCTACTAAAAATACAAAAATTAGCTGGGCATGGGGCACACGCCTATAATCCCAGCTACTCGGGAGGCAGTAGAATTGCCTGAATTGGAAGACGGTGGTTGCAGTCAGCCGAGGTCACGCCACTGCACTCCAGCCTGAGTGACAAGAGTGAAACTACGTCTCAAAAAAAAAAAAAAAAAAAAAAAAAGAATGACCTGGCTCAAAGCATGATCATGAAATGCCTACTATGCCTACTACAGGAGTAAGCAGGGGAGAAAGGGGACTGCAGATGGTGACACTGAGTCAAAATCATGGGACCATCAACCTGGAAATGGGGAAAGAAGACCCTGAAGGAGGGATGATGGAGAAGGAGGTGGAGGGAGGGTTCTCGGAATCACGGAGCATTGTCAATGTGCTCTTTGAAGGATCAGGCACACTGTCTCTTTCTCTCTTAAAAAATTCCATAAGAAATGCAAAGACCCACCATGCAAATGAAGGCAGATGAAAGACATCAAACAAAACAAGGTTAGGGAAGGCCTTAAATATGGAAATATTGTAGACACTGACCTCCAGAAATGAAGAAAGCCACAATGTCCCTTTTCAGTAGCAATTTGAGTATTTGGTAGTGTTGTTAACAGTTAAAAACTCTAATACCGTGTAAGTGCCCATTAATATGGAGTTGGTTAAGCAAATTATATTTCAGCCATAGTATTGAAGACGATGATATTGAGACGGGTGCAGTGACTCATGCCTATAATCCCAGAGCTGTGGGAGGCCAAGGCAACAGGATCGCTTGAGGCCAGGAGTTCAAGGCTGTAGTGAGCTATGATCGCGCCACTGCACTCCAGCCTGGGCAACGGAGAGAGACAAAAAGCACTGGAGCTTAAGGTAGAGGGAGGTGTAGGGAGAGCATGGTTTTTTTCCTCCATCCACATATTCAGCATGAGTACAATGATCATGAACACTGGAAAACTCATAATTGGCATGCTTCTGACAGTCCTAGAAAGCTTAAGTCACAGCTCTGTCTTGTTATAGAGCTAAAGTTATTGCTTTTAATCAATGAAGGCTTTTGTTTTTTATCAGTACCACTTCCAAGTCACTCACCCTGAACATTTTAGCCATGAGACATGGTTTGGCTGTGTCCCTGCCCAAATCTCATCTTGAATTGTAATAATCCCCACGTGTCAAGGGTGGGGCCAGGTGGAGATAATTGAATCACGAGGGCAGTTTCCCCCATACTCTTCTCATGGTAGTAAGTCTCACTAGATTTGATGATTTTATAAAGGGCAGTTCCCCTGCACAAGCCGTCTTCTCTGCCACCATGTAAGATGTGACTTTGCTGCTCATTCACCTTCTGCCATGATCGTGAGGCCTCCCCAGCCGTGTGGAACTGTGAGTCCATTAAACCTCTTTCCTCTATAAATTACCCAGTCTCAGGTTTGTCTTTATTAGCAGGGTGAGAACAGACGAATACACCACGCCACCCCTCTCTTGCAGGAGAAGACTGAGGGATGTGAGAATATATTCATGAAGCATTAAGTGAAACTGGCAGAAATAAACCCATGTACAGCCGCTAGAGGGAAGGCTGGAAGTATTAACATCCAAATGTTACCCGCGATTATCTCTGGGCAGTGGAGGGAAGGCTGGAAGTATTAACATCCAAATGTTACCCGCGATTATCTCTGGGCAGTGGAGGGAAGGCTGGAAGTATTAACATCCAAATGTTACCTGCGATTATCTGTGGGCAGTGGAGGGAAGGCTGGGCGCTGGGATTATATGTCAATATCTTTTCATGTTGATCTATGTTTTCTAAGTTTTTCTGTAATGATTATGACTTTCATAACATAAAACTTTTCATGTTTTTTTAACTACATACTTTCCATGTATTTGCAGTATTAAAATGATAATGTAACTAAGGGTTGTCTAACAAAGAGAAATGCACTAAATGTTAAAAGAATGATAAAGTTAATTTTAAAATCTTAACTACAAGAGCTTCCATAAGTACGTAAGCAAATAAGTTTTGCTTGCTTTCAGAACTCGTGTTTACGGTAAAAGATGTAAGCAAATTTATGTCATACAAATAGCTAGACTCAGGATCCTGTGGTTTACAGGACAATCCCAGTGGCTAAACCCACAGCAGCCTAGAGGGTCTATGCCTGGATCCGTCTCCCCCAGTGGCTGAACCCCCAGCAGCCTGGTGGGTCTATGCCCGGATCCGTCTCCTCCAGTGGCTGAACCCACAGCAGCCTGGCGGGTCTATGCCCGGATCCGTCTCCTCCAGTGGATGAACCCACAGCAGCCTGGCGGGTCTATGCCCGGATCCGTCTCCTCCAGTGGCTGAACCCACATCAGCCTGGCGGGTCTATGCCCCGATCCGTCTCCCCCAGTGGCTGAACCCACAGCAGCCTGGCGGGTCTACGCCCGGATCCGTCTCCCCCAGTGGCTGAACCCACAGCAGCCTGGCGGGTCTATGCCCGGATCCGTCTCCCCCAGTGGCTGAACCCCCAGCAGCCTGGCGGGTCTATGCCCGGATCCGTCTCCTCCAGTGGCTGAACCCACAGCAGCCTGGCGGGTCTATGCCCGGATCCGTCTCCTCCAGTGGCTGAACCCACAGCAGCTTGGCGGGTCTATGCCTGGATCCATCTCCCCCAGTGGCTGAACCCATCAGCAGCCTGGCAGGTCTATGACTGGATCCATCTCCTTCTCCAGTGGCTGAACCCACAGCAGCCTGGCGGGTCTATGCCTGGGTCCGTCTCCCCCGGTGGCTGAACCCATCAGCAGCCTGGCAGGTCTATGCCTGGATCCATCTCCTCCTCCAGTGGCTGAACCCACAGCAGCCCAGAGGGTCTATGCCTGGATCTGTCTCCTAGCCAGGTCAGAGGAGACACATGCTCACTCTGTTGCTCCTGAGTTTAGTAAGGTGCCCTCTGGGTCTGTGTGCACAGTTCCCCTTAGAAACTGGTCACGCTCTTCCTGTGTTAGTTTGCTGAGGATCATGGTTTCCAGCTCCATCCCTGTCCCTGCAAAATACATGATCTTGTCCCTTTTCATGGCCGCATAGTATTCCATAGTGTATATGGACCACATTGATAGGTGCAGCAACCCTGTGGAGCATGTTTACCTACGTAACAAACCTGCATGTCCTGCACATCCCAGAACTTTAAATTAAATTAAATTAAATAAAAAAAAAAAAACTGGTCAAGCTGTTGAAAGCCCACTCTCACAAGCTGAGAGGGCAAATTTCACATCCAACAGTGATGCTAAATATGAGTTTTACTTTTTTTTTTTTTTTTTTTGAGATGGAGTCTATGTTGCCCAGGCTGGAGTGCAGTGGTGTGATCTCGGCTCACTGCAACCTCCGCCTCCTGGGCTCAAGCGATTCTCCTGCCTCAGCCTCCTGAGTAGCTGGGACCACAGGTGCCCACCAACACGCCTGGCTAATTTTTGTACTTTTAGTAGAGACGGGGTTTCACCATGTTTGCCAGGATGGTCTTGATCTCTTGACCTTGTGATCTGCCCACCTCGGCCTCCCAAAGTGCTGTGATTACAGGAGTGAGCCACCATGCCCGGCCAAGTTCTACTTTAAATGGGGCCTTAGGTTGATCGCTCTCAGAAACAGTGAACAATTAACAAAAGTAGGGGCGTGAAGACATTTCTATTATTTAAGAAGCACAGACATAAGTAACGTAATTTTATGCAATTTTAAAATACAACGATAAGCAGTATATACATAATTAAATCTGCCAGAATTTATGAAAACTCAGGATGCATTTTAATGAAAAGATTAACACTGAATAAATATTGCACATCAATTATATTAATACATCTCTTTGTTTAGATAATACTTCCTCAAAACTGCATTTCTTGGAGCTTTTTATTCTGGGATTATGTTTCGAACATAGACTTTTCCCTTCAGCATCTTTTCTGCCTTGAAAACACAACCACAAATGTTTCATTTTTCTATGTATGCCCCTACCATTTGGCTGGAAAACCCGTGCTGGGAGGGTTTCATGTAGACTTACGTGCTTTTGCATTAAATTTGTTTTTATAAAAGATATTTCAGAAGACAGTCCTCCAAACTTGGCATGAAAGTAGCAGTTTAGGATGTCCTAAAACAGCCCTGGGCACTCCAGAGAGTTCCGTGGTTGCTGGAATATAAAAAGAGCCATTTGTCCTCATAAGCTGGGCAGTGCCCAGCCTCATCTGCAGGTTCATCTGCCACGAGCGCTTGCCTCCACCAATGTCGGGGTTGCTTCTCTGTAAAGAGACACCAAGGGCCCTTCAGGACCCAGAGGGCGGCTCACCCGACAATCCACGCTCAGCCGGTCACTAGTTCAGCAGGATTTTTATTCAGGAGAGCCCATGAGTCTTCTAAAATTTCTGCCGTTTTCCCCCTTTAGTCTTAGATTTGTGTCATAGCAAATGTGCATTGTGTAACATTTGCACGGCTAACAGATTCCACTCAGACTCTCTGGGTTTTCTCTCTGCTGGCTCAAGAGCTTCTAGTGTTTCTCTGCATTCGGGCAGGGTGGGCCGTGCACTCGCAGCGGAGTGCCTGTGTGCCATCCAGCTGGTTTTACACCTGTATATTTACATTCACTTTTGAAACGTAACGCAAAATTCAATGTATAAAATATTGACTCCATTTCCCACGTGAGTCCATTTTAATGTTAAATTCAATAAACTGTAACACCCTGAATTTAAAAGTATGCTAAAGGAGAACTTGAACTCAAAATAGATACCCGATTTATACCACAATTTAGGGCTATGTCTGTTTTATATTTGGTGGAAGTTGTATCAGGGTCTTTTCTCCCCTTACTTTAACAGACTTCCTTTTTTTCTTCTTAAAATGAAGAGGAGTAAAATCTCACATTTCTGCTTTCTAGAATAATGGGACCTGAGAGGTAGCTGAGCTCAGAGGTTGAGAAGAGTCTTTAAACCACATCTGTATCTTTACATCCTCACTCTATCACTTACTAGAGTGTGGCTCTGGTGACTTGCACATCATAGGTGCTCAAATATCAAAATATACTGTGACCTTAATAAAAACTCCGTTCACTGTCATTGTCTAGGGATGAGGACATTCAGCCCATCAACAGTCTCATGTCTCTTCACACAAGAGGCCTCCAGAGCAAGCACCTCACTATGCAACATCTCTGCCCTCAAATGCCAGGCCCTGTGTGCACACGTGGCTCATCGGAAGCAGTCTGGGGGATGGTGGGGAGAGGGTGGGCACATGTGGCTCATCCAAAGCAGCCTAGGGGATGGCGGGAAGAAGGTGAGCAGGAGACATACTGCTCACGTTGCCGTTTCAGTTTCGAGACCCTGTCTCTCTGCGCACTCCGTCCTTCTGCCTGCAACGTTCTATTTGTCTAGAAAAAAAGGAAGGAAAGTGACTGGAGACCGTGTTGCCGTGGGACTGAGCGAGGCCCACGTTAGGATCTCAGCTCAGCAACATAGCCACTGTGGGCCTCTGATGACAGGGCTGAGCCCTGGAGCCCTGGTCAGCAAGGCTGGGCAGCAGGTCCTGCTGCGTGGGCTCCCGTGAGGAACTAGAGAGGACACGCAGAGGCTCCGGAGGGCACAGGGTACACGGCAGGACCGTGGCAATGACTGTGCTGTCATTATCCACCTCTAGCTCCCACAGACAGCGCGAAGCTTCCTCCTAAAACCCCCACAGCCTCTGTCCCTCCTTCCCTTCCCTCTTCCATCAGAACCCGGCTGCCACGTGCTGTTCAGTCCTGGCGCCGGTGACCATGCTCCTGCCTCTGGAGGGGAGGGGCTGGGCGGACTATGCTTTTCATTCATTCTCTTAAATTCTCAGCACTTAACGCTCCACGTGGCTCCATAAATCATTAGGGAGGATAAAGTCACCACTTTCTCAGCCCAGCATGTGCGTTCTCTCCTCTCCCATTTACACTCGTCTGACTCTACACTGAAGCTTTGTTTCTTCATAAGCTTCATAAAACATAAGCTTTGTTTCTTCATAAGAAGCTATTATAAAGTGGCCAATCTTATTTTAACAAAATGTTCCTATTTTCATGCTTCACAATTGTGAACGTGCTTTTTTCTAGTAAAAAAAATGAAGGAGAAGGTGAATATTACGATATTGGTATTACAGCCCATTCCACTTCCAACCAGATTCTGCTCAGGAAACATTTGTGGATGGCAGTTTCCATAGCAACCAGCAACATATCTTTAGAGCCTGCTGCCGCCTCCATTCTAAGAATTTCGTTGTTATCACAGTCTGTGCATGCGGAAGTGATTTTCTGATGAAGTGTGTATTGTGATAGATCAAATCCTGCCCTTGGAGGAGAAAACTCTGGCGAGTGTTGCCCGGCTTTTTCTCCATGTATAAAATAGTTCTCGGTTCTTTCCTCACTGCTAGTTTCACTAAAATATTTTCGATATCAGCCATTCTTTTGAAAAGAAAAAAATTACTTAGTCAAAAGCTAGTGGTGAGTCACCACTTACATACGTATGGTGGTTTTTTTTTAAAAAGCCACAGCTCTTTGGGCCTTGTTACTGTTAAGTTAAATTAGCAATTTTATTCTTTGGAAAAACTCCCTTAGCAACGCACTAAAATGGCCTCCTAAGCAGCGAATCTGATGAGATTTAAGACCAAAACGCTAACTGTAACTGGTCTTCTGGTTTTAATTCTCAGTAATGGAAAGACCCCTTACCCTTCCTCATATCCATGACATGGTTGGGGGAGGAAACTGGGATGGGGAAAGACTTCAAAGTCTGAGACACACTCTATTTAAAATGCATTTTAAAAGAACCAGGTGGCTAGCGCTGGTTGCCCCTCGTAACCACACCCACACGATGGGAGCACTTCCTCCGGCACTTCCTGAGACAGGAGTACTGACTTCTGGGGACCAGCAGGTGTTTCTGAAGTGAAAACAGCCCACAACTCGAGAAATCCTCTATACCAAATTTTAACTTAGGCCTCTTTTCCTACTTTGGTTTTTATTTTATTCATTTTATTTTTTTGAGATGGAGTTTTGCTCTTGTCGCCCAGGCTGGAGTGCAGTGGTGCAATCTCGGTTCACTGCAACCTCCATCTCCAGGGTTCAAGCAATTCTCCTGTCTCAGCCTCCCGAGTAGCTGGGATTACAGGCACATGACATCACGCCCGGCTAATTTTTTTTTTTTTTTTTTTTTTTGTATTTTTAGTAGAGACGGGGTTTCACAATGTTGGTCAGGCTAGTCTCGAACTCCTGACCTCAAATGATCCACCTGCCTTCGCCTCCCAAAGTGCTGGGATTACAGGCATGAGCCACCGGCCGGTGATATTTATTTTTAATGTATAAACTGATGCATATTTACAGAAAAAAAGCTGATGGAGGGGAAATAACTTTTCCTCACACAATTAGGAATCACAAAAGGAATTAATTCACCACTCAGATAGCGTTCTGTGTACTCTGATCCATCCATCCACGTGAACTAAGGTGTTCCAGGAGGTTAGGTCGATGTCAGAACCTGCTCAGAAATTTGGTAAAATAGCGCTTCACCGAAAACATCGTCTTACGCTACAAACCAGTGGGGTTCTACGTTCCATCATTACAAGTAATAAGTACAGTCATGTGCCACTTAATGAGGGGGCACATTCAGAGAAACGTAAGGTGGCCTCGTGGTTGTGTGAGCATTGTGGAGCGCACTGATACAAACCCGCATGGCTTCGCGCCTGCATGCCTGGGCTGAACGGAGACCCGGATGGCGTCACCCTTACGCGCCTGGGCTGAACGCAGACCCGGATGGCGTCACCCTTACGCGCCTGGGCTGAACGCAGACCCGGATGGCGTCACCCTTACGCGCCTGCGCTGAACGCAGACCCGGATGGCGTCACCCTTACGCGCCTGGGCTGAACGGAGACCCGGATGGCGTCACCCCTACGCGCCTGGGCTGAACGCAGACCCGGATGGCGTCACCCTTACGCGCCTGGGCTGAACGCAGACCCGGATGGCGTCGCCCCTACACGCCTGGGCCGAACGGCATAGGCCTCCTGCTCCCAGGCTGCACCTGCACAGCGTGTGACTGCACTGAAGACTGTAGAAAACTGTAACACAGGGGTAAGAAGTTGTGTATCTCAACATGTCTCCACATAGAAAAGCTACAGTAAAAATATGGTACAAAAGGTTAAAAATGGTACGTCTGCAGAGGACACTCACCATGAATGGAACTTGCAGAACCCGAAGCTGCTCTGGGTGACCGGGTGAGTGGGTGGGTGAATGGGTAAGTGGGTGAGTGAATGGGTGAGTGGGGAGTGAATGCGCGGCCCGAGACATCACTGTATGCTACTGTAGACTCTACACACACTGCAAACTTGGGCTACATTCAATTTTCAAAAAATACTTTTCATTCCTCAATAATAAGTTAACCTTAGCATACTGTGATGGTTAATATGGAGTGTCAACCTGATTGGATTGAAGGATGCAAAGTATTGTCCTGGGTTGTCTGTGAGGGTGTTTCCAAAGGAGATTAACACTGGAGTCAGTGGGCTGGGAGAGGCAGACCCACCCTCAGTCTGGGTGGGCACCATCTATTCGGCTGCCAGCACGGCTAGGATAAAAGCAGGCAGAGGAAGGTGGAAGGACTGGACTGGCTGAGTCTTCCAGCCTCCATGTTTCTCCCATGCTGGATGCCTCCTGCCCTTGAACATCAGACTCCAAGTTCTTCAGCTTTTGGACTCTTGGACTCACACCAGTGGTTTGCCCGGGGCTCTCAGGCCTTTGGCCACAGACTGAAGGCTGCACTGCCGGCTTCCCTGCTTTTGAGGTTTTGGGCCTCGGACTGGCTTCCTGGTTCCTCAGCTTGCAGACGGCTTGTGGTGGGAGTTCACCTTGTGGTTGTGAGTCAATTCTCCTCAATAAACTCCCTTTCATATATACACCTATCCTATTAGTCCTGTCCCTCTAGAGAACCCAGACTCATACACACACTGTAACTCTTGTACTTTATTTTATTTTTAAAACTGTTTGACTCTCTTGTAAGGCTGAGCTTAAAACACAAATGCATTGTACAGCTGTACAAATATTTTTCTTTATATTCTTATTCTATAACCCTTTTACTATTTTTAATCTTTAATTTTTAAATTTACTTTTTAAACTCTCTTGTTAAGCACTAAGACCCAAAAACACATCAGCCTCTACCTGCGCAGGGTCAGGACTGTCGATATCACCATCTTCCAGCTTCACTTCCTGTCCCACTGTTAGGACTTAAGGGGCAGTGGCGGTGACAGACGTGGAGCTGCCATCGCCTACGACCACAGTGCCTTCTTCCGGACACCTCCTGAAGGACTGGCCCAGGGCTCTTTACAGATAATGGTTTTCCACAAGCAGAAGGAGCGCACTCTAAAATAATAATGAAACGTACAGTATCCCAGATGCATAAACCAGCAACATGGTCGTCTGTCAGCACCATCACAAGATGCACTGCGCATCCCTCTACGGCTACACTTCCGTACGGTGGCTGCACAGGGGGTTTCTCTACCAGGGTAAGTCACACGTGAGTCATGCATTGTGACGGCTATGAGGTCACTGGACAGTAGGAGTCTTCCAGCTGATGATAATCTTACAGGGCCACCGCTGCACCTGCAGTTTGTCTTTGACTGAAACACCCGTGTGCGGTGCGTGATGTAGTCAAAGCGCCGGTGTGGGAGGTTATAAAGCCCTTGCCTGCTTCCGATGGATGGCACTTAACTCACATTTATTCTTACAAAAAGGCTTTGTTGCCCTCATTCCACTACCACCCCAAAATCTACAAAAGCTGCTCAAGTCACACAGCTAATGTGGAAGATCTGGGGCTTAAACCCAAATATCCCCAAACTGTGCTTGTTCACAAAATACAAGAGGACACAGTAGGCCCGAGTAGGTTGGAAGGGCCCTGGGTCCCTAAGCTTCCAGGAGCAATAAGGACGGCGGAGCCAAAGTGACCATTGAAATGTTGGCAAAGCTCAAGTTTTAGGAAGAATAACACAGAGTACTGAATGTTGTACATCTGGATCCACAAGATCAAGAGTCCAGGGCCAGAGGCATGTGACATGCAGACCAGGCACGCCCATTCCTGCATCAAAGCCCAGTGATAAGAAGGATGATGATACCATGGAGGAGGGAGGGGAGGAAGGATGAAGGGAGGAGGAAGGAACGATAATGCATGTTACTCATGTTCACGGAGCATTTTCTGTTTCTCAAAATGCCAATGACGGCCGGGCACAGTGGCTCAAGCCTGTAATCCCAGCACTTTGGAAGACAAAGGCTGGAAGATTGCCTGAGTCTGGAGTTCGAGATCAGCCAGGGCAACATAGTGACACCCCATCTCTACTAAAACACAAAAATTAGCCTGGTGTGGTGGCGCACGCCTGTAGTCCCAGCTACTCGGGAACTTGAAGTGGGAGGATTGCTTGAGCCCAGGAGGTTGAGCCTGCAGTGAGCCAAGATTGTACCACTGCCCTCCAGGCTGGGAAACAGAGTGAGACACTGTCTCAAAAAAAAAACCCAAAACCCAAAATGCTGACACTCCCGGGAGGTAGCTCAGTGACCCAGTGGTGGGTGTGGCAGGATGCTAAGGGCTCTCTCTTACACAGGAGATGGGCCAGGCAGGTGGAGTGCTTGCTGTCTGCACGTGAGGCTACTTCCCACATGGCTCTTCCACCTGGTGTCTCCTGTCAGCCTCCTGGGTCACTCAAGGACCCCATCTCTGCAGACTCAGATAATCTGCAGGAAAACGGAACGAGATTTCCTCAGGGCCAGTCTGAGAATCCACATTTACCAAGATGAAACCCACCCAGAAAGAGAGAGCGGCTGAGCTGCTGACGGTCATATTAATCCTCCAATGCGAAACCCTCAGCCCTGCGGCCACGTCTCCATGCTCCACCTGCAAAGCAGCCACGCCCATAGCACAGAGCCTCATTCAGCGCCATTTCTGGGACTTCGCAAAAACACTTTCTTGCAGGGCATGGAGAGGCTTAGTGAGATGCCCAAGTCCCTTCTTTCTCTCCAATAACATTTACATAAAGAATCTTGGCTTGTGGTTTGCAAAGAGGTGTTATTCTCGGTTTCTGAGAGTGTAAGGACCCCAGGGACCATGGACAGCACTGGATTCCATGTGCATCATGGAGAAATTTAGAACAAATAAGCAGAGGTTTATACCATTTAATAAAAATTTGGATTCCTACAAATATGACCTGCTCAGCTGTCAACACAATATCTGAACTCTCCTAGCAAAAAAAAAAAAAAAAAAGCCAGTTTTGCCTCATCTGTGTATTTATCTTCAGTGTCTAGCAAAACTCCAGGCACCTAACCAGTGTTCAGTGGTTTGCCAAATGTGTGTTTGTGGATACAGAAAAAATTCCAAGTCGGTCAGCTGCGTTGGCTGCCCAGTGTCCGACTGTGCACCTTATTGATTAGGACTATTCTTCAAATGTGTCATCCAGCTCGAGGACCTACTCGGGTGGGCTCACCAGACAGCACCATCTGTACACTTGCACACCACAGCAGCCTCACGGGCTCAGCAGCAAGCACCTTTGCAAAAAGACCTTTCTAAACCACGTGGTTCGGGTGCTTGGGCCTGGCCACCGCAGCGGGTGCCTGGCAGGACCAACCCCTCCTGTTTGTGCTACACGTAGGCCATGCACTCCTAGGACTGGATGCCCCTGACGGCCACAGCTGGACCAGTACAGGGGTTGTTTCGGAACATGTAGAGCAGAGAGCTGGATGGGTTCTGTTGCCAGAGGCACAGGAAGCATCTTCAGTGACTTATTTTCAAGGTAAGCTCCTTCAAGAGTTCATGGAACCCAAGTCCCGCACGTTCCTGGAGGGGCTTTGGGCTCATGGCGGGGGCTTCCTCCCCTGCTGACTCCCACCCACACACTGGGGACGTGTGGCTCGGCAAGGGAGTCCCAAAGCCTATGTTAAGTGCCCTGGGACTAAAACTTGGCAGAATCATGAGGAGAGCAGACTGTGGGGGTCACCTCCATGGAGGTCCAGCCGCCTGTGAGTCCTGGAGCAGTCAGCAGCACAGCGGGCCCTGGGTCTTCCATGCAACTCCGCGCCTCGATGCTCGCCATTCCCAGGGTCTCTGGTCTCTGGGGACGCCCCCAGCTCGGCCAGTCTGTGTCAGGACCCAAGTCACCGGGGTCCAGTGTGTCTGGACCAGGCGACTCCCGCTGAACCTGGTTTAATCCAAACACGCGATCGCGGGAATCACCCGTAACCTGCATGCTGGCAGGTCATGGAGGTCCCCAGAGGCCCTGGCATCTCACCAGCCAAATTCACAGCATGCCGACATGACAGACACAGAAGAGAACAGCTCAGGGCCAGTGCCTTCAATATGAAAATGTCAAATGTGTTTTTACAATTAACTTAAAAGGCCTTGACTTTCTAGAACTACAACTACAAAAGACAAAGTTTCATAAATTCCACACCCTGGACTCCCTCGCCCATCTCTTTTGTCTCCTCTCCCCAGTCAACAATTTCAGTGGCAATTTCAAGACAATATGCCCCATGAATCTTTATGGGAAAATGACAAATAAACATTTAGACAGGACTGTGGCTTCCTTGGTTGGGCTAATCCCCAGATTCTAACTTCTTTCAGTTAAGTGGATGTTTCATCCCCTCTACCATTATTTTTTTAAGGTGCATAGAATTTCTTGAATATAAAAGCAGTTTCTCAGATTAAATTTGGCAGCTGCTTTTGTAGAGGAAGCAAAGCCAATCAATAAAGAATTTTTAAATGCTGCAATCTTCATCTTAGCCACTGGCTTTTACAGCAATGAAATATGGGGCAAAAAAGCAGAAAGAGAAACACTTGTTTCCTTATGAGTATGTGAAGTGGAACTAGCCCCGAATGATCAAACGCCAGAGTTCAGCCCCGATGGATGGCAGCCTGTAGCAGTGCTGGCTGGCATGGGGTGCTGGGTGCCGGCAGGGTTCAGCCCCGATGGATGGCAGCCGTAGCGGTGCTGGCTGGCATGGGGTGCTGGGTGCCGGCAGGATTCAGCCCCGATGGATGGCAGCCGTAGCGGTGCTGGCTGGCATGGGGTGCTGGGTGCCGGCAGGGTTCAGCCCTGATGGATGGCAGCCGTAGCGGTGCTGGCTGGCATGGGGTGCTGGGTGCCGGCAGGGTTCTCAGGGCTTGGTGGCCATCGACACGGAGGCATCAGAAGAGTCCCTGTCATGCACGCATCAGTGTCTTCATTTTACAAATGAAAACACCAAACTAAAGAAAAGGAAGGCTGAGTAAGCTGCCCAATAGCCCAGGAGAGTAAGCCCGGGAGCCAGTGCCTCCACTCCGCAGTCGGACTGAAAGCTACACTGGAAGGACAAGCCCCGGTCTCATCACCACGCCAGCGAGCCTGTGATAGGTCAGCTGACTCTTTATACAGGTGGATGTGGCCAGTGCTGCCTTTGGCCTGGGAACTCGTGCATGAACGGCTGCTGAGCGCCAGGCAGCTGGCTGCCTCTTCCTTTCTCCTTTCTCTTCTTCTTTCTGCTGCTGTTTCTATGCATTGTCCTTTGCCCACGGGTAGAGTCTACCTGGTCAGCCAACGGAACTGAGCTTGACACAGTGCTGACGCCCAGTAGGTTGTCAGCATGGATCAGACGTGCAGTCAAGGAGCACAATGAATGAACAGATGAATAAAGCCCCTACTCTATTACTAAACATTAAATTTAGTGAGTTTTAGTCTTTAAAAACATTACAAAACATTGAATCGGGACTTACACATAATGATTCTAATGATGTGTCAGATTGACAGAAAATGTAACTTTTGCTAACGGCCTGTAACAGGCATGAAAGACATTTCAGCTCACTGACTTGTATTTGAATCGCATGTGTTTCTGTTCTCTGTACACTGGGTTGTAACAATTGAAATAATAGTAGTAGCCTTTGCTTCCCATTTTACAGTTTGCAGGCACATTTTTGTTTCTATGTCCAAATATTTGCTTTGTTCCTTTCCGTAAGAGGGGCATGAGTGCTAGCCTCATCTTGTAAATAGGAGACTTGAAGTAAAAGAGAAGGTAATGACTTGCCCAGAACCCCAGAGACAGTCAACAGCCGAGTCAGAATAGGAAACCAGATCTTTTCATTATTCATTCATTATTGCCAATGCCTGATATCAAAGACGCTGCCGTGCCATTCCTGATTTAATGTGTCAGACGTGTCAGGGTCGTCCTTTAAAGACTAACAAAGGATGTTTCAATAACTGTTCATCTTATTTTTGGATCTGCAGGTTGAAGATATTTCTGAGTGGAAGAAAACTGTGATAGAAAAGAATACTTAAAATGATTAATTTTTCTTCAAGAAAGTATGAAAGGCAGGTCACAAACTCCTCTCAATCTCATAGAAGAGCAGTCATAGGCAACTGTGTGAGATCCATGGTCTGATCTTCATTTTAAATACAAAACCTCTGAGGCCCAGAAGCAATGGGGTTTGTCTGAGTCACCTTAGCTACAAGGCCTGTAGACCTAGGCTTTGCAAACATCAGTCTTTCCAGGCTTCTTCTGCTAGAAGACCAGCTTAAAGTCCTTTGCCTAATGTGATTTGATCAAACCGACCTTGAAGAAACATCAGCATGACTTCCTTGTATTTGAGAAAACAGCCACACATTCGCAATGCAACGTAAATGTGGCTAAGTTCCTCTATAAAGCAATGAAGCCACTAAAGATTTAATCTGTACTATTATTTTCTTCTTATTTTTAGCAAGGAGGATTTCGAATGCTTATGTAGAATCTAAATTAAAATCTAACCAAAGGAATCACAGATCATTGGTGACATATAGGGATTAAAGTATTTTTGCAGAGAATGTCACCTTTAAAGTGAGTGCTGAAACCTCCTAAGGAGCCATAAAATTATCCTAAAAGGCAAAATGCTGCGGCAGTGGTTTATTTTACCACACAGTAACATAATTATTCTCACTAAAAATGAATTCTAAGTTCATATGTGTGTGTGTGTATATATATATATATATATATGTATATATATGCATCTCTCCCCTTCTGCTTTCATTCTGCAGGATGATATTTTCAGGTGCATATCTGAAAATTAAGCAGAAGGCCGTGTATGATGAAGGTAAAATGGGTTCTGAGCATCGGCTTGACTCCACAATGAATGGCCAGATCACCTTGGACAAATCAGATGAATACTGCTTATTTTTTTTAAGGACAGAAAAACCCTGCTTTTCTGCCTCAGTGTGAAGCATGCACTGAATATCCTCTATGTGTAAATGGAAAGCACTGGGATTGAAGCTGGGGAGTAGAGGTCTGCTTGGAGAGTTGTGCCATGTGCCTGCTGCAGGCTCATCCCTGCTGGTTTTAACTGTGCTGACACCGGGCAGTGGAACATATTTCTCCCCTCCTCTCAGTGGCTGTGGATGACTGTCTTTAGGATTAGTTCTTGTAAGTTGTTATTGTAAGAATGTTTCACAAAAGGGCAGTGTTCCATGTCCCTAAGTCATCTTCAGCTTACACACCATCAGCACGTTAACCCAGCCTTTTGTATCTCTTATGTCTCCTGTACTTTGTTTAGTATGGAAGCCACAGCAATGAACAAGACACAATCCTGGACCCCATGAGCTCACAGTGAGTGACAGCAGCCACTACAGTGTTAACGAAAGTTTAATTCGGAGGCCAATGGGCTGGGATGGCCCCAGCACTTTTAGTTCCTATGTAAGCAAACCAAACTCCCGTGTAAATGGTGAAATGAAACGAGAGCCCTTACCAATCAGAAACCACCAGCTGAACCCTAAGTAGGAATTCTACCATCCAGAAACTGCCAACTGACCTCTAAGTAGAGACTCCACCAATCAGAAACTATCAATTAACTCTAAGTAGGGATTTTTCAAACTAATCCAACATGTTTTGTTTTGTTTCCAGGAACAACTTATGAAATTTTCTGTCTCACCTCTGAAGCCCTAGAGAAGTGCTACACTGCTTGCAGTCTGGTGCTGCCCAATTTATGAACTGCTGTCTGTTCAAATAAACTCCACAGAATTTTAATGTGCCTAAGTTGATCTTTTAACAACAGAAATGCCCAAACCTCAGGAAAACAAGGATGGCTCACCCTAGATAGCCAAGCAGGGCATGAGACGACGTCCTGTGCATGGGAGTCACCTAGCTGGTGAGTGAGCAGCTGGATGTAGACCGTGCATGCCAGATTTTGTTTAAGGCTCTCCCATGTGGGTGTGCAGCACATGCACTGATATGAGCCACATGGCCTCTTCCTGCCTGCAAAGCTTCCACTTGACACATTTGCTGGCACTGAGCCATCCTTGCATTCCTGAGATAAACCTTACATGATTGAGAGCCATCACTGTGTTAAAAGTATGGGCACATGCATATTTATTAGGTATACATAGGCATACTTCTGTACCTGTAAATGTCTAATGTCTTATTTAATATTTTCCATCTGTTCCCAGCAGTCAATCTGACCTATAATTTTCTTTTCTTATTCTGTCCTTGGCCTGTTTTGTTACCAAGAATATATCATTCTCATGTTAGCCAAGTAGCTTTCCCCTCTTTTGTATTCCCTGGCACATACTCACTCACTCTTTCTCTCTCTCTCTCTCAAGGAAAGAGAGATCTAGTTATTTAAAATTATGGATTTATTTACTGGTAGTAAGTTTATTTGCATTCTCACTGAATTGTTCAATTTTATTTTTTAGACAAATTGTCCTTTTTATCTAGCTTTTTAAATTTTACATCATAAAATTGCTCATTGTGTTATATTTTTTCAAAAAATTATATTTCTAATAGGCTTTAAATTTTTTTTCTGATTTGGTGAGTTTTGATAGAGATTGTCTATTTTTAACTAACTAGCATTTTGTTTTCTATTTTGATTATTTTTTATTTTATATTTATCATTTTCTTTCTCTTATTTTATTTAGCGTACTCTGTTCTTTTTCTAGCTCATTTTGCTATGTAAGTCATTTATTTTTATTTTCCTTGTCATTTTCCAATAAATACATGTATGAACTTTTAAGGTTGCAATCTAAGTTGCATTTTAGCTGTCTTCCTACAAATACTGATATAAGTTCATTTTATATTAATTCCAAGTATTTTACAATATTCATTGCGGCACTGTTAAGTTATGAATTATGGAGAAGAGTACTGTATTGGTCAATTTTCATGCTGCTGATAAAGACATACCCAAGACTGGGCAATTTACAAAAGAAAGAGACTTATTGGACTTACGGTTCCATGTAGCTGGGGAGGCCTCACAATCATGGTGGGAGATGAAGGGCATGTCTCACATGGCAGCAGACAAGAGAAGAGAGCTTGTACAGGGAAACTCCCATTTTTAAAACCATCAGATCTCATGAGACTCATTCACTATCAAGACAACAGAGCAGGAAAGACCCACCCCCAAAATTCAATCACCTCCCAACATGCTCTTTCCATGACATGTGGGGATTGTGGGAGTTACAATTCAAGATGAGATTTGGGTAGGGACACAGCCAAACCATATCAAGTGCTTTCTGTTGACATTTGATTATTTTCAAGTATATGAGGATGTTTGTTTATATTATTTCTAACTCAACTGCATTACATTATGAGGGAGTAGCCACATCATATTTATTCTTTAAAATGTTTGTAATTGATTTTGTTACTCTTTGGGTTATGCTTAAAAAGAGTGTTTATTCTACACTTGGTAATACATATTTATCATATTACATTTGTCGTTGTGTTGTTCAAATCATCTATATCCTCACTAATTTGTCTGCTTGAGCAATTCCTTTTCTGAGAAAATATACTGAAATCTATAATTGTAGGTTTGTCAATTTCTCCTTTTTATTTTATGAAATTTAATGCTAGTTGTAAAAAGCTTATTAGTTCATACTTATTATGCTCCTGATTAATTGGATTTTTAACCTATGTAGTGTTTCTTATCTTTTATTTTGTATTTTGCCTTAACTAAAGTTTATTAAAATAAAGATCTTAACACCTTTTACCTATTGAAGCCTCTTCTTTAAATTATTCAAATAAGCACTCATAGTTTTTAATTGTCAATAAGACACAATATTTTTTATTGATCTCTCTGTTCACTGCTGTTTCTTGTATCCTGTATCTTCTGTTGTTATTTTTTTCCCCTTTCATATGCATTGGAGTAATCTTTCAGGTAGAATAGAAGGTTGAGTTTTTGTATATCTGACACTAATTTTTTTTTACGACTAATTTACTTAGACATGAGATTTTAGGTGGGAATTTTATTTTTCTTCAAGACGTGGAAGCCATAATTTGACCATCTTCTTGCATATGTTTTTACTAACGAAGAATCTATTGTTGGTCTAATCCTTGCTCCTTTGTAGATTCCTATCTTTCTGGGTGAGGTTAATAAGAGTTTCTCTTAGTCATGCATGGTCTTGAGTTTCACATCATCTGTCCAGGTTGGGGATTTTTCCTTCCAGGCAACAGCAGAACCCTTTCAGTCTGGATGGGTGATGTTATCCTGGTCAATTCCCAGCCACTGTTCCCTGGATACAACTTTTCTGTCGACCTCTGGGATCTTTTCTTCTGGAATTCTGCTAACTTGTTGGAGTCTCTACATCTTTCCTCCCTAGCTCTGGGCTCCTGCTTCATGCTGTTCATTTGTTTGTATTCCTTGGCCATGTTCTCGTGGGCAACTCAGCATTTCCCTCCAGATGGACTTTGAGCAGATCTAGTCTGGAGTCGGTCCTTCCCAATTTTAGGTCTCCAAATTCCTTAGTCTCCTCGTTTTTCATAGACATCTGTTCTTAACTTACATCTGCCTCTGTTCTCATCATTTTGAATTTGCTGATGTGGGTATTGGGTGGACAAAGTCAGTTCACAGTTGTCCTGCTGCATGTGTGGCCTTGAGGTGAGTTTCTCCAGCAGCTGAGCCGGTTTCTTCCTCCTCTTGCCCTACCCTGACGCTTTCTCCCGGCCTTAGGGGATGCTCTCCCTTGGTTCAGAGTTTGGTCTCATTCTCATGCTGAGGACCCCACACCCACGCATTCACCTTGCAGGTGTAGCATGTTCTGCTCAGTGCTGTCCTCCAGCCACCTGGTTTCCATAAGCCCTACATCAGGTCCTGGCTATTTTGCTTTTCCCCAGTCTCCTTTCTTCCCTGCTTTCAGACACCAAGCTCCAGTCCGCATTCCCTGCCTCAGGCACTGAACTGAACTTCTGGCTGTCTCTGTTTCTCGGTCTAGGGCCCTGACATCCCCTGGGCTCATCCTGCAGCGGCTTTGCTGTGGGTTTATTTTTTTAATGGTGCACAGACGTCCTTATCTTGGTTCATGAGCCCACAGGGGCCAGTTCCCTACAGGACAGGAGCCTCATCTTGCCATCAGGGCAGTCTCAGGGGTTTACATGACAGCTCTAGGCTTGTGGAAGACCATGTGGATCATGCGCCCAGGCTGTCCGGGATCTGGAGAGGTCCACATCTGCTCCAAGGGATCCAGAGGAACGCCTTCTGGGGCCCCTGCAGGGATGCACTCAGCTGTCCATGTCTGTCCTCAGGGAAGACCCAAGCACAGTGTTCCCATCAGACACTTCTTTCTTTCTTAAACAGGTACCAGGTTCCTGATGGGTCCCTGGTACCATGGGCGATGCTGTCGAGTAGCAAAGCTAATGTTGTACCTGGCTGGCCTCCCGGGGAAGATGCTAGATGTTAACACCAGGTCCCCTTCTGACAGATCAAGCACATGCTTTTATGAACCCCCCATTTACCATGGGCATGGCTAAGTCTTTTATATTCTTTAAAATACAGACAGATATTTTCACTATCATTGAAACGAGTTAAAAGATTGAATTCATAATGTTATCATGACTGAGGCTATGGAGTTAGGCATAATTTATAAATTTAAAAATCCTTATATCACCCAGTGCTGAAATATAATTTTAAAAACTACCTTAGTTGGCAAAATACTATACAAGTTTACTAAAAACTAAGTGCAAAAAATTTTTTAAATGTTTAAATTGAGATCAGCTACACATAAGATTCACCATCATGGGCATTTTTGTCTATTTCAGTGGCATTAAGCACTTTCTCATTGTTGTGCAGCCATCACTGCCAATATCTCCAGAACTTCTCGATCTTCCCAAACTGAAGCTCTGCCCCATTAAACAGCCCTCCTCATTCTCCCTCCCCAGCTGCTGGCAGCCTCCCTCTGACCTGTCTGTGTATCCAACTCCTCCAGGTGCTGCGTATAAGGGGATCATACTGTCCTTGTCCTATTCGGCCTTCTGTCTGTGCATCTGACTTCTCCAGGTGCTGCGTGTAAGGGGATCACACCATCCTTGTCCTATCCGGCCTTCTGTCTGTGCATCTGACTCCTCCAGGTGCTGTGTGTAAGGGGATCACACCATCCTTGTCCTATCCGGCCTTCTGTCTGTGCATCTGACTCCTCCAAGTGCCACATGTTAGGGTAATCACACCGTCCTTGTCCTTTTGTGATGGCTTATTTCACTCAGCATAGTGTCCTCAGGGTTCACCCAAGTCGTAGGATGTGTAGAATTTCCTTCCTTTCTATGACAGGGTAACATTCCATTGGGCAGCTATACACAATTGAACATTTTCATTTTATTATTTCATTTGGAAATCACAACCACCCCATATGCCAATATCAGTATGCTCTGGCCAAAGAAAAATGAGAAAAATGTGTAACAAGGGGCTTGGCTCATAGTGGGCCCTTGATACGCACGTCTTAATAAGTCTCTGTTGTCTTTAGATTGAAGAGTTAGATGCAGACTACAGAAGGGACCCCCTTTTGCTGTGACTTTCTTACGTATGCCAAACCATCAGCTTAAGACTAGCTGAATTTCTAGAGGTCTCTCAACTTGCGTGAAAGAGAGAAATAGCTGCAGGCTCATTCTGTGTTCCTTCACCCATGTGGAGCCCGCTTTAGTTCACAAGGACCTTCATGCTGGTGTCCTCTGAGTGCCATGGGAGAGTATCTCACACAGGAGGAGAACCTCCATCCAACTGGCTGCCTGATACGAGCTTTGAATAATCCGGCTGCTATTTTTGCAGAATTCATTCCAGTCATGTGAGTTGATCACAAGAGTACATCTATTTTTCAGCACTGCTTCCTCATTTGGGTTCTTCTGAACGTGGGATATTTTTGCTTTCTTGATGTTTCCATGCAGGGAATGGCTGTAGACGTGCAAGTGTCATTTGAAAGAGGGATTAACCTGCTCGAATTTCTCCTGTAACAACTAGAAGCTTGCAAGTGCATGGGCCCGTTGCTCCTGCCACTAGCCCTGGCTGTCTTCCCCACCCGCCTCTCTCCCTTGGAGTGCTCTTGCACACTCTGTCAATGGTGTTAGCAGCTACACATGCCAGGCTCTCAACGCACAGAGCAATTCCTCCAAGAGTTCAATAAGGGAGCAGCAGGTCCCAGCAGCCTCTGCTCCCAACATCGTGTTCCCTCATCCTGGAAGTCGTGCTTTTCAAAGCCACTCACAGTCAACACTTCAGGAGTATTAAGCCTAGGCCTGAAAGCGCTGATGCCTTGACAAGCTGGTGCCAGAAGTGCATGGAGCGGTATGGAGATGGCAGGGCAGTGGTCATCAGACCTCGCGGAGCACAAAGTGGGCTATGGGATGTGGTGGGAAATGCAAACTCCAGTCCAGACCCCTCCCAGAGACAGAACCTGGGGTGGTCCTGGGATCTGCCTCCACCTGAGCTGCCCGGGTGCCTGGGGGAACCTGTCTGTCCCATGGACTGAGCAGGCCTGGGGTCAGGGAGTGATAAGAGCTGTGACTAAGTAGAGTTCTGAGCTCTACACACCTGTGTTTACATTAAAAAAACTCAATCTCTGCTGGTTGAATTCAAAACTATATTATATTAACTTGCCACCTAGGCTTTAGCTGTTGTGGTTCATTCATTATTTTAAAAACATATTATTTCCCCTAAAAGATTTCCACTTGTCTACACTGTTGTGGCAGTCTGAACATTTTCACCTTTGTTTTGATGTCACTATGATGAGCACCATGTATCCTGATGTGCTCAAGATGTAGCCACAGTCACATATACCAGGCCACCTGCACGGATCCCCTCCCCAGGCTAAGGGGCCCCCTGGACAGAGTTGGCCTAGGGTGAAGTGAGGAAGGAGCTGGAGCTTCCTCAGGCCTCACACCGCTTGATTCTGGAACAGCACAGCATCCAACTCTGCCCTGAGCAGCTCTCACATTTGAAGACTGCTTGTGGATGAAACACTCCCATGCCCTCAGCCTTTCCCCTGCTAACGAAAGGACACATTCCCCCACCCCCAATCCTGGCTGGTCTCAGCATGTTGAGTTCCCTGAGCACTTAACGAGCACCTGCTGTGTACCACCCCCTGGTGGGCAGGGAACACACACCAGCCGTGCCCTCCAGCCTTTGCTGATAACCGTGAGTCGGCTTCTCAAGATGCATCCACCCTGTCTGTTCCACCCACACCTTTTTTTTTTTTTTTTAATGTCAAAGAAAGCCTTTTCCAAACACTCTTCTGCCTTCATGGGATCAAGACGCAGATTTACATTAAGTCTCTAAAGACAGGAGAGGTTTCCCTGGCATCACTTGCTCTTAGTGATCCTCGCTCAGTCACGGCCATCTTCGCTTTTCTCCCTACATATACACAAGCGTGTCATTAAGACTTGAGTTGTGTAACTTCGCTTGCAGTGGACGGAAATTTCACAGGTACATAATTAATTGCTGGAATGCACTTCTTCCCTATTGTGAAAACTAGAATGACATTTTTCTATCCCTGGTCTTCTGGTATCTTTTCCATATTCCATAACTCCTAAAAAAATACCCTTCAGGAGGGTCTGTGTCTTTCTCTCCTAGCGGCCATAAGACATTAGGAAACATCCTCGCGACTCAGCCATGTGGTCCGTGAAACGGGGTAGCTGTCCTACACACCTTGTCCAGGTGCTCTGAGATTCCATGGAGTAACAAACGCAGCCTCGCCCTCGGTGCCTAGCGTGTGTTAGATGCTCAGCAAATATCAGCTATTATGATTGCTAACTGTTTTACCCGCCACTTTTTCTCTTTTTTCTTTTTTCTTTTTTTTGAGATGGAGTCTCACTTTGTCGCCCAGGCTAGAGTGCAATGGCATGATCACGGCTCACTGCAACCTCCACCTCCCGGGTTCAAGTGATTCTCCTGCCTCAGAGCCTCTTGAGTAGCTGGGATTACAGGCATGTGCCACCATACCTGGCTAATTTTTGTATTTATAGTAGAGACGGGGTTTCACCATGTTGGCCAGGCTGGTCTCGAACTGCTGACCTCGTGATCCACCCACCTCAGCCTCCCAAAGTGCTGGGATTACAGGCGTGAGCCACTGTGCCTAGCCTTATGAATTTTGTTATAGCCAAACATATGTGCTTGCTTCTTGATCATCACTAATCTCTATTTTCATCTTTTGCAATCGTTACTCTCTTCAATATATGAAAATATAACTTTCATAATATTCATAACTTTAATGAAATAACTAAATTCCCCCCACCCCATGGAATACTGTGGTATTATAGAAAGGCTGAGTACGTAGCATGAAAGTGATTCTATGCATTTTCAGATTGTGTTGGCCTGTATATTAATTCCATGTCTCTTGTGTGGGTGTTATTATTCTGAGAGCCTCAGAATGGGATGTTGATTGATGAACTGCAGTCACAACTTCACTCAAACACAGCTGGAAGATTCTAATGTATGCAAGGCCTATACACAAGCTTTTCAGTTCAAAAAGCACTGGATAGAAAAATCAAAGAAGAGCAAAGGACAGGCTGTGTTCACAGATTACAGCAGCTCTCACACACACAACATGAAACACTCAGATGTTAGAGCTATGTTCCAGGAAAAATGAGCTCGGCTTCCTGTTTATTATGAACCACAAAATTCAAAGGTCTGAAAAACATACTTTGGATAAGTTATTTTACTATTTTCTACTAGTGACTTGTTGGAGAGATTGAAATTTTCTCCAGTGTATTATTCTGAGTTGGGAAGTCTATAACACAACTTGCATCCTCCTGAGAGGAGCTACAGCCCATGAGAGAGGACCCCGCTCTTTGGGAAGCAACATTCAGTACAGCCTCAAAACAGCCAATCGAATGATTAAAATGCAAGAAAGAAAGACCCTTGCCACACCTGCAGCCCAGGCAACGAAGACACCAAACAGGACTGCGCAGATGGGGAAGCACCTCTGAAATGGCACCAATAGGTCTAAATCTGGATGATTATGGGATTTTAATCAAGGTCACTGTGGGAGGGCCAAGTTAACAAGATTACCACCGAGCCAGGGAGCTGAGTTATGTGATAGATTTGGGAAACAGCAGTGGCTTTACTGGGTTGGAGTGGAGGGCATTTTGGCGAGAGGGAATGCAGTCGGAGGCACAAATTGGGTCCTGACAGTGTGAAACCTTGACCCACAGGCTTTGACATTGATGCTCAACATAGAAGATCATATTTTTAAATATATTCAGGTATACTGTGGATAGCTTAAACATGCTTTAGTAGGATAGTGACATGCATAGAGTTGTAGTTTAGGAAATTTGCTATAGGATGAATTGGAATTAGAAAAAACTCAAAGTGCTGAGATGACCTGGGACACCAGCGTAGAGTGGAAGAGAGAATCGCAGAAGTGAGGTGGCCAGAAATAGGCTTCATTTACGTGTATTTATCTGAACACTGTTGTGATAGAGCGACTTCTTGCTCAGAGCTCCTAAAACCCCATGGTTTCCTAAGTAATAAGGGCAATAAAGGTTGAAAGGACAGTCCTTAGTCATTCCCAGCCAGCCCTTCAACCACACCTGAGTTTACGCTGATGCAGAGACTCAAGCTGGACCCTGGAGAGCCTCAGGATAAGGCAGTCCTCAGGGAACTAGCCTTGTGATTAGAGGATTGGAACTTCCAGCCCCTCCCGACCCCAGACCTCCAGGAAGGGAAAAGGGACTGAAGGTTAGCTGGATCAGGGATGGCCAGTGACTTAATTCACTGTGCTTATGTAACAAAGTCTACATAAAAAACCCTAAGGATTTCATTCTTTTTACAGCTGAACTGTAGTCCACTGTGTCTACCTACCCCATTTCACATGTTCTTTCTCCATTCTTCTGTTGATGGACACTCAGGTCGATTCCATCTCCTGGCTATTGTGAATGGTGCAGCTCTGATACCATTTCTTTTGGCTGTACACTCAGTAGTGGGATTGCTGGCTCATATGGTGGCTTAGTTTTTTGAGGAACCTCCATGCTGTTTTCCTTAGTGGCTAGACTAATTTATATTCTCACCAACATTATAAGAATTCCCTTCTCCACATCCTTGCTAGAACTGTTACTTTTGGTCTTTCTGGTAACCGCCATTCTAACTGGAGTGAGACAGTATCTCAGTGTGGTTTTGATTTGCACTTCCCTGGGGATTAGTGATGCGATGCTGGATACTGGAGCATGTGTTCATACACCTCACCTTATACATTATGTACACGTATCAACATGTAACACAAGATCCACAGATATGTACAATTACTATCAGTCAACCAAAAATAACCATTTATAAAATGAAAACAAAACCTACACACACACACACACACACACACACACACACACGTATCAGAGTGTAACACAGTATCCCACAAATATGTACAATTACTGTGAGTCAACCAAAAATAACCATTTATAAAAGGAAAACAAAACCTACACACACACACACACACACACACACACACGTATCAGAGTGTAACATAGTATCCCACAAATATGTACAATTACTGTGAGTCAACCAAAAATAACCATTTATAAAAGGAAAACAAAACCTACACACACACACACACACACACACACACGCACGCATCAGAGTGTAACACAGTATCCCACAAACATGTACAATTATTATGAGTCAACTAAAAATAACAAATTTAAAATGGAAAAACAAAACCTACCAAGGGTTTTGGAGTGCTTGCAGAGGGCTGAACACAGGGAGGCGGTGCCCAGAGAGGGCACGGAGAGTCCACATGGCCCTGGCCTCTGCCTCGCCCCATGTGCCCCTTCGTTCGGCTGTGCCTGAGTGGGAGCATTTACATAGTGTGGGTAAACACAAGTAAAGTGTTTCCCCGAGTTCTGTGAGCCATTCAAGCAAATCACTGAACTGGAGGTAGAGCCATGGGAACCCATGATCTCTAGCCAGCGGGCCAGAAGCCAGACTTGGGATTGGCCCTGGTCTTGCGGGGCTGCGTCCTTAACCTGCGGGGTCTGAGGGAAGTGCAGGTGGTCAGGGTCAGGACAGCAATGAATTAGAGGACGCCCAGTTGGTGTCCTGGTAGTGGGAGAAACGGTGCATGGGAAAATATACACACATTTGGTGGCCAGAAGTATTGGCGTGAGTGTAGCAAAGAAAAAAAAATGGAATTTTTCTTGCATTTGGTGTCGAGAAGGAAACACTTTTTTCCCTTTTATTTGGCGTCGGAGTGGAGTGTCGTGTGAATGCAGAGAGAGCACTGGCAGCCAGGTGAAGCTTCCATTTTGACTGTGAAAGTAGAGACATAAATCGTGGGTTTGGGGTTAAAAGAGAGAAAGAAGTTAACGATGGCTATAATTTCAGGCTAAGCGACTACAGAAATAATCATCTTTTTAAAAACATGCCAGAATCAAATCCATTAATTAGCTATACTTTTTTAATGACTTGAGGATACTGAATATAAATATCTAAAGTTGAATATTTTCATGTTTGAGGCCATCTAAAGTGAAGCTGTTTAATTTTTAGACCATACTATTTAATAAATGACTTAGTTATTACACATACAATATCCATTTCTTAAATGTTCAGTAGTAGAGACAGTTACATCATCATTCTTTGGGCCACCCAAGATCAAGGTCTTTGAAAATGGTTCGGAAGGAGAATGCTGTGCATGAGGCCACACTGTATGGCTGGAGATCTTTTATTTGGTGGAGGGACAGGAGTTACATTTATTTTTGCTAATGAGATAACAATATTCTTGCAGGCATCTAATCCCCCACTTCCACTGTCCAGAACGGGACTGTAGAGCCCATTCTCCAAACGTGCTGATTTCAGATATTTAATTCTTTTTTTTTCACGACAGACGAATGTCAGTGGTAGCTATTTTGAAAATGTAATATTTTATCAGAGCAAAAGGCTCCTGGAACTGCACTTTTGTGTTGTGAACTCTGAATTCCCGCCAATAAAGATGAGGTAATAATCGAATTCTTCAAATGCATTAGCTGCATTTGTGGAGACATTGATCACTTTCTCTGAAATCATTCCAGGACCCTCTGGTCCGTTCATAGGTCTCCGTGGGCTTCTGTGTCTGGAGCCTCGCCGAGTGAGGCAGGAGTGGGGCCCCCTGTGCCCCCCTGGAGCCTCGCGGAGTGAGGCAGGAGTGGGGCTCCCCGTGCCCCCCTGGAGGCGGCCACGCAGTGAAGTCCTTCTGAGCCTCCTATTTATCTGTCCGCATTTTCTCCTCTCCTCCCCTGTTCTGGGCTTCGGATCCCCATTGCATTCACACCTGTGCTATGTACTATGCCTGCCCTGGTGAGCCCCGTGGAAACTGTTACCACATTAACCTTCACAGTAAGAGAACACAAAGAGCTGAAGTCAGAGAAAAACAAGGTTTGCTTCAACAATCAGAGGCTCCGTGTCCTGATCAGGATAAAAGCAGTGACAGTGCTGCTAGCTTCAAGGGCTTCTATGAACATGCGGTGAGATGCTGTCGAACCTGGGCACCCCGCAGACGCTAAATGAACGCCGGTCTCTCCTCCCGCCTCAGACGCTAAATGAATGCCGGTCTCCCCACCTCAGACGCCAAACGGACGCTGGTCTCCCCTCACTCAGAGTCTCCCCCGCCTCAGACACTAAATGAACGGGGGCTTCCCCTTCACTCAGAGTCTCCCCCGCCTCAGACGCTAAATG
This sequence comes from Homo sapiens, assembly GCF_000001405.40. Classification (NCBI taxonomy): domain Eukaryota; kingdom Metazoa; phylum Chordata; class Mammalia; order Primates; family Hominidae; genus Homo; species Homo sapiens. The sequence goes on along the minus strand of NT_187565.1, from coordinate 122,656 downwards.
AATGAACGGGGGTCTCCCCCCCACCCCCCCATCCCCCCACCCCCGCCCTTTCTCCTGCTGAACCCGCCGGGGACAGTGTGGGGCGGGACCGCTGACGGCTGCTCGGAGGAGTGACGGGGACCCCCGAGCCCTGGACTCTGAGTCTCAAAGCCACAGCCGCACTGAGCTGGGCCTCCTCACGAAGCAAATCTGTTTCCGGGAACAAAAGCGCATTCTTTGCAAGTCTGAGAAGCTTTCACACGAACAGGTTTTAGGGAGAGAACGGATTATGCTCACGCTTTGCAACAAATGTCTGAGGAGAGACAGAAAAGGAGGCCGGCACGGGTGCTCGCGAGCCACATTCCGCCCCTAGGCTCTCCTCTTAAGCAGCCAACACGTCCGATTCCTTTTCTTACTACCTGGTTTTTGATTCCTTGTTTTACTTATTAAGCGACCAGATAGACACTTTGGATTGAAATGTCAACATAGAAACAGAGTTTCCACGTTGATATTTCTATGTTGAGGTGACAAAAAACTGTTCGTTTTCATGGTAAGTTTTCAAAGAAGGGGCGGCCGTGGAGGCAGAGGGGTTCTGGTTCAGGCCTCGGGTGGTTCATTCAGCGGGGCTAGAACTCCATGTCCTCACTTAGGAAACAGGAGCAGCAAAATCGGATTCTCCGCCTGATGGACTGTTCTGAGGATCAGACACATTTATGGAAAAGTTTAATTTGCCTCAGAAACTGTAGTATCGCTGCACTGCAGAGGTTTGAACCTCCCTCAAGTGACCAGGCACGTCTGAAATACGAAGGCGGACACCTGGGCTGACCACGGGAAGCTGGTTTCCATGGCCGTCGTGACGGGAACCTACAATCCCCCGCCAGGCCGGGCTGGTCGCCACTCTGTATGGACGCTGGAATCATCTGGTCGCCACTCTGTATTGACGCTGGTAACCAGGCATCGTCTGGGGACAGGATGGGTTTCACGTCCAAACTGAGCACTGAAAATACTTTGAAAAGTCTCTTTAGCACCTCAAGCAGATATTATGCAGGGTCCTCTATGTTTTTGTCATCTAATAACATCTTTAAGTCTGTCAAATAATTTTGCATTTTCCACCTGCTTCCCATTGGCAGGGGTAGTCAGTTTTGTCACCCATCACCCTCCCCCAATTTATGTTAAAAAATATTCTTTTAGTCATGAAATGACCCCTCAAGGAGTTTCTACCCTGTTTGTGGGATTGTAAATTAGCTCAGCCACTATGGAAAGCAGCTTGAAGATTTCTCAAAGAACTTAAATCAGCAATCCCATGACTGGGTATATACCCAAAGGAAAATAAATCATTCTACCAAAAAGACACTGACACATGTATGTTCACTGCAGCATGGTTCACAAGGTTCGCAATAGCAAAAACATGGAAGCAACCCAGGTGCCCATCAAAGGTGGATGAGATAAAGAGACAGTGCTACCTATACACCACGAAATTCTATGCAGCCGTAAGAGAGAATGGAATCACGTCCTCTGCAGCAACACGGATGCAGGTGGGGGCCTTAGTCCCAAGTGAATTACCACAGGAACAGAAAGCCAGACACCACGTGTTCTCACTTATAAGTGGAGGCTAAACATAGGGCACACGTGGACATAAAGGTGCGAAGAGCAGACACCAGGGCTACTAGAGGGGGAGGGAAAAAGGGGCTGGGGAAGAAACACTGCCCATTGGGTGCTGTGCTCAGTGTCTGGGTGATGGGATCATTTGCACCTCAAACTTCAGTGTCATGAAATAAATCCATGTAACAAACTTGCCAACGTACCCCCGGATCTAAAATAAAAGTTGAAAAAAAAATTAGCCCTTAAATCAGAAAGACGCACTAGAGAAAGTCATAAGAAAATAATTAAAAGTGAAAGTTTTGTATCCTAAAACCAGTTTAGGGCTGCCTGGAGTCAAGTTCACAGATTAAAGATAGACACAGCCCACAGGTTGGCAGAATAGAGTTGCCTGTTTGTACGCATGTGTGTACCTGTTTGTATGCATGTGTGCACATGTGTGTACACGTATGTATGCATGTGCACCACAGCCAAAGGCTGGACAAGTATAATACAGGGATCAAAATGCTTGATTTTTTTTCTTCTTTTTTTTTCTTTTGAGACGGAGTCTTGCTCTGTTGCCCAGGCTCGAGTGCAGGGGCATGACCTCAGCTCACTGAAACCTCCACCTCCCAGGTTCAAGTGATTCCCCTGCCTCAGCCTCCCAAGCAGCTGGGATTACAGATGCCTGCCACCACGCCTGGCTAATTTTTGTACTTTTAGTAGACATGGGGTTTTGCCATGTTGGCCAGGCTGGTCTCAAACTCCTGACCTCAGGTGATCTGCCCACCTTGGCCTCCGAAAGTGTTGGGATTACAGACATGCACCACCGTGCCCAGCCAGACACCTGATTATTTAACAGGAGGTTCCATGCTTGTAAGGCAAGACACGCTGAGGGCAGAGGACGCCTGGACGTGCGTAGATGGCGGGATCCTCAGAGACAGCTGCCGGGCAGCTCCGCTCAGTCCCTCCCAGCCGTGTTCTGCCTCCACTCTGGTGTGGACTCTGCACTGGGACCCCCAGCCCGGTCAGTCCCTCCCCGCCACCTTCCGCTTCTGCTCTGGTGTGGACCCTGCACTGGGACCCCCGGCCTGGTCAGTCCCTCATGTCCCCATGCCTCTTGCCTCCCACACTTGACCGGCTCCATGGGTCACGACCTGACTCACACCCCGGACCTTGCATTTCTGGCTTGCCCTTGGCAGGTCCTCACTGCCTCTCCCTGGCTACAGCCTTCAGCCTTGTTGGCCTCATTCTGACAACTGTGAAACACACCCTCCAATCACATGCTCAGGGCGCCATGCCAACCCCACAAGAGTCCACAGAACACCCCTGCCATTCCAGTTTCCAGCTTTAGCACTTTCTCAGATTCCATCTTTACGAATATAAGTCAGTTTCTCTCAACAGACAACTCCCCCCAACCCTGAACACTTCACTTTCTCAACAGCCTGCAACTCTGACTTTACAGACCTTGAAAGAATGCCTTTCCCCAACACTAACAGCAGAGGAAAAAGCAGAATTCCTAGGCATGTCACTAAGTGTCCACACGGTGCCCTGAGCTGCACTTTTTGACTATTTGCTTTCAATCACAGCACCCTGTTGATGGTGTCTTCAGTGAACAGCTTACGATGAGTTTGGAGCTCTTTTTGAAAAAAAAAATGATAAACAAGAATTCACCATTTAATAAGTATGCCATTGACATTGTGCATCTGCACGTGCCTCTTCTCAGGCTGTGCCTCACCAAGGCCCACCTGGCAGGCGTGTGTGCACTGATGGAGCTTTGTGAGAGCTGCACAATCTAACCCCATCATCCTGTCATTGCATCTGCAGAAGAGCTACATACTGGGAGACTGGGTGGTGCCCTTTGAGTTCAAGACCATTTATCAAAGATAAGAGTGACTCCAATCACTGATTACTGAGATTTTCATTCCCTTTCATATTATTCCTCCATCCAGAGAAGGGCCTTCGAACATCTCATGTTTCTGGACTTTAAGGCAATACTTTTTCTGTGACAAAACATTTTTTCATTTCCATTATAACTCTATACTTGCCAGATTTAGTGCAAAGTAATCTACAACTTTTTGAGAATCTAAGTAAAATATGCATAGTGACTTTTGCTTGCCCTTAAATTGGACTTACTTTGAAAGTCTTTTTTATGCTTCTTGAGCATTGAAACTATATTTTCCTTTCTTCAATAGGTTGTTCATTTATATTACAATAGTAATTCATTTTCTTCCTCTGTTCTTGAAAATATCTATCCATTTATTCATTCTGCTTCCCATCCTTCTATCTTTATGCTTCTTCCTTTATTTACTTTAAAAATACTATAAATAAATAGCTAATAATAAAGGTGTTGAAACATACAAAGGTGCTACAGAGAGGAGGGAGACAAGCCATGACTTGGAAGGAGCCACTGTCCAGTAGAAAACACAGAGGGGCAAATAGAACACAAAGCTGTGAGTTCCAGAGGGACACTAGGAGAACTGAGGAGGTAATGGCACTGGTCAAGAAGAGGAAGCCCTCTTCACAGAGGAGGGGACACTTGAGCTGGGTATTGAAGGATTTTTCCCACACTGTGGTCAGGAAGGGCAAGTCTGTTTTACGGAGGAGGGGACACTTGAGCTGGGTATTGAAGGAATTTTCCCAGCAGGAGGGAGGGAAGTCAGAGACAGGGAGACAGGAAATAGCATGCGAGAGCACTGTAATCTCAGGAAATGCAGGTGGCCCTGAGCACTGGAGACACAGGCCATCTGCTGGGGAGGGCTGTGAATAGGGAGGGTATGTTAGAGTCAGAATGGCCATCACAGCTGGCAATTGCCTTTTGCCTGTAGAGGTCTTGCTAAGTGCCCAAGAACAGCAAGAAAGACTCAATAATTACATGCACTGACTCTGACCTTCACAAAGAGCCTGTGATCTTCACAGTGGGCTCCATTGCTATCACCATTTCTCAGAAGAGGACACTGAGGCAGAGAGGGGTGAAGCAACTTATCTGAGGGCTCACAGCTGGAATGGCTGGGGCTTACCAAGGATACACAAGGCCAAGCTGAGAAACCACACATTTATTCTGCAGGTCAAGTAGCAGCAGTGGGATATTTCAGCACGGAATTCGTGAGATCAGATGCATGCATGCATTTAGCAATGTAACAAATCATATGGAAGAGGGTGAGACTCTGAGAACCTTTTGGAACCTCCACATCTGTAAGAGAGATGGAGGAGAAAGAGCCCGGGAGACAGGGAGGCTGAGGGAGAGAATGCAGCCTCAGAAGGCTAGGGAGGAGGAGGCCTGAAAGACAAGCAGGCTGCAGAGTCTAGGGCTCAGAGCAGGAGGCTGGCGGGGGACCTCGCCTTCAGCATAAAAGTCCCAGTGCTGGGGGCTCTGCAGAGGGCAGTGGGAGCCATAGCACTGGAGCTAAAAAGGGAGCACAGGTGAGGAGGAGGGAGATGCAGCAAGCCCAGCCCATGCTTGAGAGGCCTGGAGGCAGGAATGGAGAAAGGGCAGTGACTCCAGGGGAGGTGAGGGTCCATGGCAGGACATCCCTAGCAGGAGATCACCTGCCCATGGCATCTGTGTCTTCCAGAGCCCTTGCTGTTGCCTGTAGGTTTTCGGAGCATGTGTCTGAATGTGGAGGATACTGGCGTGGAAGCATCCACCCCCACACTCTGTGTACCACTTGCAAAGGCCTGGATGAGTGTGCCGCACCACCAGGGCCCACACGACGGCTCATGAGGGCAGAGCTGATTAGGGAAAATTCACCCTTAGTGAGAGAGACTTCATGCGCAGCTTTCCATAAATTCAAGTTCTGGAAAGTTCACGGAAATAATTTTAGAAGCCCTTAAATGAAGTAGACACGCAGCTTCGTGAGCCTGTGAAATGCTTACTCTTGGCATTGTTTGAAGTTCAGCAGATGGTTCAGAGCAGGAGGGAAAGGAGAGGATAAACCGGGCCAGGAGGAGCACGAGGCCCTCAAGTCTACCACCTGCAGGTTCCGCATTTCGGTTACCTCGTTTAATCTGCCCAAGGCTCTACCGGCACAGTTTATGACTTCGTCTTCCTGCCAATGTCACCAGGCTAGGGAGCCGGAGGCAAGCAGGATGGAGTTATATCTTCGGCACAAGTGGGGCCAAAGGCCAGCTAGGACCGCCTGGCTCAGGGGTCAAGTCCTTCGTGCTTTTATGCTCTTTTATGTGGAAACCCATATGTATCAACATTATAATTCCCTGCCTTCAAAACCATATAAGATTTTTGGTGTTTTGATTATTCCTAACTCTGTTTTCTTTGACTTATTATAGTATATAATGTAGCTATTCATTGCACATTGTTAAAAGACACAATATATATAAACATTCATTTTCAGACCAAATTATTGCAATGAATAATTTCTCTGTAGTTAAGCAGAGCAATTAACATACGACGATTTTAATTAGGAGATGTTGGGTTTCCAGAACAAGAGACCACGACTGAATACCTGAAAGGAACAACTGGCGTATGCAGGTAGCTTTCCACGGTGACACTTTAGTCACCTTTTATGCACTGAAACTCAATAAATAAACCCACAGAAATATTAGTTTAGCTGGCAAGTCAAAGTAACGTACAACACTATGCAATTATAACAAAATAATGATTACAGTCTCTTAAATAGAGAAGTAAAGATATTTACATGTTCACCAGGAGCTCAGCCTTCCTTCCTGGATAAGACAAATGAAAACAAGGAAGTTTAAAAAAAAAAAAAAAAAATGGCTCCAGAGTGAAGCAAGGACATTCCCACAGGGAAAGGTGGCCATAATCTGGGAAAATTCCTGAACAAGAAAACCAGGTTCCAAATCAGCATCTCTGGATCCCTTGACCTGGACGTGGGGTTTGACGCAGGCCCATGGGGTGTCCCTGATGCCGTGCGTGAAACACACTTATGTGCTGCTGCCTCTTCATACTTACAAGCTCCCCTAGGAGTTTTAAGCCATAATTTCACTGTATTTCATTCTGAGAAGGGAGCTGACTTGATGCTTTTGCTTTAACTCGACCTGTGCGGAAATGCAGTAGCCTGCAGATGGACCCCTGCAGGAAGCCTTCCTCTAGTGACCCCATGAAACTGTGGGACATGACAGTAAGTTACTGCTACAGAATTATGTGAACTGAGGGGAGAGAATAAAAAGGAAGCACTCAGCGAGTATTTCAAAGGGGTCAGAGTGGCGTCTGCTCTGCTGGGAGCTCCTCACCGTGAGGCTGCCTGGGCCACGGTGCCGCACGCGTGAAGCCATGCCCGTGAATGTTACCTTCCGTGTCACTATTACTGGTATCCTCATTGCCAGTGCCTCACAATGCAAAGATTCTGCTCTGAAGCCAGTGAGATTCCAACCACTCCCAGATGATCTGGGCCCTGATCGAAGCTTGCGGTCTCCTCAGCAGATCGAGGGCATGTTTTGAAACCTCCCCTTCCCCTTGGGCACTTGGTGTCAGCGTCTGGCATTCCTGGGGAGGACACCGCTTGGCTTGTGGACCTGACACCATTTCTCAGTTAGCCAAAGGTCTACACACCTGCAGCACGTATCGGTCAGGGTTCTCTGGAGGAATGGAACCAACAGGACACACAGACACATAAGAGGGGGTTTTATTTTCGGAACTGGATCATATGATTATGGAGGCTGAGAAGCCCCACAGCTGGAGACCCACGGGGTCAGGTGTAATTCAGTCTAAGCCCGAAGGCCCCGGCACTGAGGGGCTGCTGGTGAAAGCCTCAGAGCCTGAAGGCCCTGGGGCTCTGGTGGAGGGCAGGAGAAGATGAAGGTCCCAGCTCAAGAAGAGAGGAGGTCCTCCCTTCCTCTTTCAGTTCTATTTGAGCCCTCATGGACTGGGGGACGCCCGCCTGCACTGGGGTGGGGTCTGCTTTACTCATTCCCTGATTCAAACGCTGGTCCTTCCAGAAACACCACCACAGACACATCTGGAAAATGTCTTCCCAGCTCTGTGGGCATCCCCTATCCCAGTCTAGGTGACGGAGAAGATTCACCATCACAGGGTGACAGGCTGGGAAGCGAGGAGGGTTCTGAGCACGTTCGTCACACCCAGCTCTCTTCTTGAACTTGTGTCTGGAGAATTTCTGAAATCAGTCTTTACTGAGCCCATTTCTTCCGGTTGGTTCTCAGCTGGTCTAGACAATTCTGTGCTCAGCACCAGGACTGCCAAGGGGAGCTGGGCGCCTACGGTGAGGAAGGAGTTGGGCAGTGGTCCAAGGGGAGCCAGGCACCTGCTATGGTGAGGAAGGAACTGGTTGGTTCCAGTTGGTTCTCAGCTGGTCTAGACAATTCTGTGCTCAGGGCCAGGGCTGCCAAGGGGAGATGGGCTTCCTATGGTGAGGAAGGAGTTGGGCAGTGGTCCAAGGGGAGCCAGGCGCCTGCTATGGTGAGCAAGGAACTGGGCAGTGGTCCAAGGGGAGCCGGGCGCCTGCTACAGTGAGGAAGGGGTTGGGCAGTGGTCCACATTCTGGAACTGAGGCAATGCTGCTGTCTTTTTCATAGGTGGATTTATCTTTCAGGGAATTAACTGATGCTTCCCCAACAGACATCGATTAAATGTCCACTGTCTCCAACAAGACAGACCCTGTGGCCCAGGAGGGTGGGCAGACAGGCATCATGGACCACCACTGCCCAGCTTTCTTCTCTGTGCCCTGCGCACCTTAATGTTAAATGACAGTCAAGTCTTCCTGTTAACGCAGTGAAAGTGACAGACGAAGGGTCTCTTGGTGGTAGAGCTGCCACGAGTTCCCAAAACCTGGCTTTCCCGGGTTCTGCTTTCACCAGAAAACCCTCTGCACTGTCCTGTGAAAGCCTGAAACAAGGACTTGCTAGAAGGCCTCAAACATCCAAGATACATTTTCAAAGTTATGCGTGAATCCATGTTGCCTGCTCCAGAAAACAGGCTTAGAAACTCCAGTTGCCGAACAGTTAACACCGTGTGTGTCTGTGCCTGACAATGCTGGAGTCCCAGTGGAGAGCAGCACCCTCATCATCCAAGGCCCAGAGAAGGTCCCTCTGCAGGGCCATGGGGGCTTCAGGACTTGACACGGTGCCCCAGATGCTCGTGATTACGCAAGGCCCCAGGTGAACTAACAGGTTGTGGCGAACTTGGAGCTGGGGCCTGGAACTGATTTCTCCCCTGATGAGAACACAGACGCCTCCCCGAGGGAAGGGGAAACCCTCAGACACTCTGGAGAGTGAGGAAACAGACCCAGATCATCAGCAGGAGGGGAAACTGAAATGGCATCGAGGAAAGTGGAGAATGAGTTGGACAGTGAGGCAGGTGGAAAGAGCACAAGGATTCCTGTGTTCTTCAACTACGGGAATAAAATGCTAACTGGAGATGCTGGAAAGAAAGAGTGAGCCAGAGACCAGGCTTGCCTTGATCTCAGTGAAGACCAGCTGTTCTCAGGAGACGATTCTATCCCCTGGGGGGCATTTGGCACTATCTGGAGGCATTTTTGGTTGTCCTGACTGGCATCCAGTGCTGAGTCCAGCGACGCTGTTAAACATGCTGTGCTGTGCAGGACAGCCCACCCCAACCCCCAACAAGGAACTGCTGGAAGCCCTGAGGTGGACCCTGCGGTACTCAGTCAGCACTCAATACATGACTGCAGAGGACAAGGAGGTGGTGCTCAGTAAGCACTCAATACACGACTCCGGAGGATGAGGAGGTGGCGCTCAGTAAGCACTCAATACACGACTCCGGAGGATGAGGAGGTGGCGCTCAGTAAGCACTCAATACACGACCCTGGAGGATGAGGAGGTGGCGCTCAGTAAGCACTCAATACACGACCCTGGAGGATGAGGAGGTGGCGCTCAGTAAGCACTCAATACACGACTCTGGAGGATGAGGAGATGGCGCTCAGTAAGCACTCAATACACGACTCTGGAGGATGAGGAGGTGGCGCTCAGTAAGCACTCAATACACGACTCTGGAGGATGAGGAGGTGGCGCTCAGTAAGCACTCAATACACGACTCTGGAGGATGAGGAGGTGGCGCTCAGTAAGCACTCAATACACGACTCTGGAGGATGAGGAGGTGGTGCTCAGTAAGCACTCAATACACGACTCTGGACGATGAGGAGGTGGCGCTCAGTAAGCACTCAATACACTACCCTGGAGGATGAGGAGGTGGTGCTCAGTAAGCACTCAATACACGACCCCAGAGGATGAGGAGGTGGCGCTCAGTAAGCACTCAGTACACTACCCTGGAGGATGAGGAGGTGGCGCTCAGTAAGCACTCAATAGACGACTCTGGAGGATGAGGAGGTGGTGCTCAGTAAGCACTCAATACACGACTCTGGAGGACGAGGTGGTGCTCAGTAAGCACTCAATACACGACTCTGGAGGACGAGGAGGTGGTGCTCAGTAACCACTCAATACATGACTCTGGAGGACAAGGAGGTGGCGCTCAGTAAGCACTCAATACACGACTCTGGACGATGAGGAGGTGGCGTTCAGTAAGCACTCAATACATGACTCAGGAGGACGAGGAGGGAGCGCTCAGTAAGCACTCAATACACGACTCAGGAGGATGAGGAGGGAGCGCTCAGTAAGCACTCAATACACGACTCCGGAGGATGAGGAGGTGGCGCTCAGTAAGCACTCAATACACGACTCAGGAGGACGAGGAGGGAGCGCTCAGTAAGCACTCAATACACGACTCAGGAGGATGAGGAGGGAGCGCTCAGTAAGCACTCAATACACGACTCTGGAGGACGAGGAGGTGGCGCTCAGTAAGCACTCAATACACGACTCTGGAGGACGAGGAGGGAGCGCTCAGTAAGCACTCAATACACGACTCAGGAGGACGAGGAGGGAGCGCTCAGTAAGCACTCAATACACGACTCAGGAGGACGAGGAGGGAGCGCTCAGTAAGCACTCAATACACGACTCCGGAGGATGAGGAGGTGGCACTCAGTAAGCACTCAATACACGACTCAGGAGGACGAGGAGGGAGCGCTCAGTAAGCACTCAATACACGACTCAGGAGGATGAGGAGGGAGCGCTCAGTAAGCACTCAATACACGACTCAGGAGGATGAGGAGGGAGCGCTCAGTAAGCACTCAATACACGACTCTGGAGGACGAGGAGGTGGCACTCAGTAAGCACTCAATACACGACTCTGGAGGACGAGGAGGTGGCGCTCAGTAAGCACTCAATGCACGACTCTGGAGGACGAGGAGGTGGCGCTCAGTAAGCACTCAATACACGACTCAGGAGGACAAGGAGGTTCTGAAAACCTCGAATGCCTTCCTGAGGCCTCGGATTCACATTTAGAGCAAAACTGATCTGTCTCCATTTGGGGGGAATAGTTGTAAAAAAAGAGTCACAGAGACTCCGTCTCAAAAAAAAAAAAAAAACGTCACATTTAACAAAGACACACGCCCCATTCCAACACACATACATTCACTTTGCCAAAGTCCAATCACAGATGCCAGGAGTTTCAAGCTGCAATTATCCCAAAGAAACAACACAGCCCATGAGCATCACTACTGTGCCATCACCTGGCAAAGGTCTGGCACTTCCACTGAAACGCAGAAGTGCTGACCCAGGCCTGGCCCAGTCCCCAGAGATGCATGGAGGCCCAGGCCCACGGGACTCCCCACGGGTTTCCACACCATGTAGGGTCACAGTTAAAATGCAAAGTTAATATGATAACAAGCAGAGTCTATTTTGGGCCTTTTCGGACAAGGTCTATTTGCTTTCACTTAGTTGCATTCTCACACTCGGCAATGAGGCACAGCAGGACAATGGCACTTAGAAGGACCACGCGGCGTCCAAGTCAGCGCAACCGGTTTGCCTCCCATTAGCAAGTCAGGCCGACGGGGGCCACAGGTTTTCCCCGAGTGCCGCGAGTTGATGGGAAGAAAGGGAAGCCCTCCCCATGGGAGTGCAGGTAACAGGTAACCCTGCACCTCGACCCTGGATCCAGATGGCGCCTCAACCCAGGATCTGGACTGCGCCTCGACCTGGGATCTGGGCTCATGGAGGAATGACTCATCCTCACGTCCACTTCAAGGCCGCCCCGTCCATAATCTGGGTGTTCCAATGGCACCCGAGCCTGGAACTCAGGGGTCTTGTTTTCTAGGCCCACCCCAGCCTCTGAAAAATTAGAGATGTAGATAAGGCAATTCAAACAGTTCTTCATGCTCTCAGTCCTATGACCTGGGTTTTCTGAAAGATCCTACAGCATCGCAACAAGGGGATAGATAAGGCGATTCAAACAGTTCTTCACGCTCTCAGTCCTACGACCTGGTTTTCTGAAAGATCCTACAGCATCACAACAATGGGTTATTTTGTCACAGACACCGACGGCTCCTCCATGGCCCCTTGTTGGTTGTCCAAGGTGGACGCACAAGCGTTCAGGAGGGGAAGACACATACTCGGGTCTTGGAGATGCAGCAACACATTTGCTGCTTCCGCTTAATGAAATGACCTCTTCTAAGGATAAACTGGCTTGAGAAAGGGTGTTTTCTTCAAACTAGGAAAAATAAATTATTTGCACCAAAGTGAGCTCCTTAAATACTGGAGTGAAATCAAGAACAGAAAACACATCGCCAGGCCCTCTGCCCTCTAAACCTTTTATGAACCCATCTCCTCTTCTAGAGCAGTCCCCTGCCCAGCCCCTTCCTGGACTCTGCATGGGGCCAGCTCTGTGAGGCATCCATGGTGGAACATGTGCTGGTAGCGCTCCAACTGATAAAAACACCAATCTTACTCTCATTATGTGGGGCCAAAACCCCAGCTATTATCATTTTTCATCATCCCTCACTTTGCTTGGCACTGAGTCACCCCTTCCTGACATCCCATTTGCAGCCACAGCCTGGTGTCCCTGGATGAGCCGCGTGCCTCTGCACAGATCCGATCTGGCCTCTGAATGGGGCATCCAGACTCATGGGTACTGCCAGGTCATTCTGCACGGTACCCCAAAACCCCTACCTCAGGCCGTTTGCTTTCTTGTTGCAAATCCTTGAATGCCCCATTGCCTAGTTTGGAAGCTCGTAATGTCTAGCCTTGGATTCAACATCCTGCACAATGTCCCCATGGACACTTCCGAGTTAATCTTTCCAATTCCCATCTAGCCAACCGGGGTCTCATTATCCCCAGACATTTCTGCCTCCAAAGCTTCTTCCTACTCTTGGAACGTCTTCTTTCTTCTGACTTAGTCCAACTCATTTTCAAGGTCCTGTTGTATTCACCCAAGGCACGTGTTCCAGATGACCCCACATGGGGGGTTCAGCTGCTGCCCCTTCATCCTGCCAGCACAGACCCTGGGTCCTTCTGATTTCAGTGCTGCCATGCTGGCTGTGTTTAATTTGGCTTCTGAGGTTGCTGCCTGCCTTGCCATTTTATGAGGACGGTGATGCTGCCTTGTAATTCTTTATGACTCTTGCACACAGCACAGTGTGTTTGCATTCGCTATGGGCTCGCTCTGTGGATAAGAGACTTGAAAAATGGTTTTGTAACAGAGGGTTGAGCTGAAATCCACCTGCAGTATTCTCAGGCAGAGCCCTCCGCCAAATGAAAAGATCCTCCCTCACCACCAGCACCCAACAAGAGACTCAGATCAGAGCTTGGCGGCTCAATGGAGGTGAGAGGTGGACGGGACTGCAGTTAAAGGGCAGAAGTCCAGTCCTCAAGCAGGCAAGGGAGGCGGCACGCAGAGACCAGAGGCCCGCAAGCATACAGGAGCACACAGCTCGACAGATTGTCATTTTCTAATTGCAGTGCAGTACACAGAGGTCCCAGAATGGACAGGAAGGGCTCGTAGGTGGGCCTGGAACTAACCCTGATGTTCTGAGTTCATGGCCATCTGTTTCATTTTATGCATACAAAAAACTTACTCCAGCAAAAGGAAGAAAATGAAAAAAAAAGTATTATTTTAATAAACGGAGTTTTAAAAGGTCATACATAAGAGTTTGTAAAGATACAAGCACACCACAGCGTTGTGTAGGTGACAGACACATTTCTGCGCCTTCTGGAGAAGCCCAGATGAGAGGCTCCCATCTGGTTTTCACCAACATGATTACTATGGCAGAGATCATTCCAGAGTCGTTTGGTTTACATCTGGAGAGCTCAGAGAGTGCCTCGATTTAGTTACTGATTTTTGGAAGAGCTTCTCCTCTAAGCCTGATACTCCACCAGGGCCCTGTGATCTCCATCAACGGATGAAATGTCAGCCTGTTAAGTTTTTCCTGCCTGGAAGCATTTCCAGGCAACATCCATCCAGACACACTCCGTGGGTGCAGACGAGAGCCTGCGGTTGCTCCTGTTCACGTGTGAGGGAGAGCTGTCTGTGCCGGAGCTGGGTGCTCCGCGGCCCCTCTCTGTGGGACGCCTGCTAGCTGTTTTTCAGCAATCACTGTTGTCTTCCAATTTTCATGAAAAGGCAGATCTGGGTCTGGGGCAGATCTGGGTCTGCGTTGGATCCTTGCAGGGAAGGCTCGCTCTGGGTCTCCGCCCGGGGTTGTACCTGTAGGTCCCCAGCTGCTCCACGGCCACCTAAGAGGAAGTCTGGAAAACAGCTGTCCTTGGAGGACGTTCTCATGGACAGGCAGTTCTTGTCTCTCCGCTGCATCCATTCTGCACAATCTGAGGTCTGGAAGCATTTCATCATCAGCTTTTTTTCTATCCAAGCTGCTGAGCCTGGTGGGATAAAAATCAAAGAACTGTGCAGATTGGTTCTGCTAAAAACCTGTGGTCTGCACCGAGCGGCCTCGTCCACACCTCTTCCAGCTCTGAGTGCCCTTAGCGGGGTCCCTCATCGACACTTCTTCCAGCTCTGAGTACCCTCAGCAGGGCCCCTTGTCAACTCCCGTGTTATCATTCCAAGCTTCGCCACTTTCTCTGACCTCTCCTCTCTGCAGATCCTCTGGCTTCCCCGGGATGCTGCAGCCACCCTCCCCACTGACTGGGAGGAAGCCACCGTCGCCTTCCCATCGTCCTCCTCCAGAGTCCCCTCCCCACTGACTGGGAGGAAGCCACGTCGCCTTCCCATCCTCCTCCTCCAGAGTCCCGCTCCTCCCATTATGGCATTTCCCATAAAGAGGTCCACGTGCCTCCCGTCATGAAGAGGCCCTGCACTTCCACACCCTTAGTCTGTGGGACCAGAGCCCTCCCCACCTGCAGCCTCTGCTCTCACAGCCCTGACACCTGAACCAGAGCCTCCTCATCCACGGCCTCTGCTCTCACAGCCCTGACACCTGAACCAGCGCCTCCTCATCCACGGCCTCTGCTCTCACAGCCCTGACACCTGAACCAGCGCCTCCTCATCCACGGCCTCTGCCTCTCACAGCCCTGACACTTGAACCAGCGCTTCCTCATCCACGGCATCTGCCTCTCACAGCCCTGACACTTGAACCAGCGCCTCCCCATCCACGGCCTCTGCTCTCACAGCCCTGACACCTGAACCAGCGCCTCCTCATCCACGGTCTCTGCCTCTCACAGCCCTGACACTTGAACCAGCGCCTCCTCATCCACGGCATCTGCCTCTCACAGCCCTGACACCTGAACCAGCGCCTCCTCATCCACGGCCTCTGCCTCTTACAGCCCTGACACCTGAACCAGCGCCTCCTCATCCACGGCCTCTGCTCTCACAGCCCTGACGCTGTGAGACGCTGACACTAGCCCCAGCCCGCACGCACTGGCTGCATCCACGTCTGGCCAGTGAGTCTCCAGCAGCTCTGCGCCCACCGTGTTTGCTCACGCGCTGGGGACCTCCACGCCTTGATCGCTAACCCACCCGTAACCCTAACTGTGGGGCTCCAGACCCCCAGGTGAACCTACTCACAGGACATCTCGGCTTCCAGCGCCATCAAATCCACAGGCTCTTAGACTGACATCACTGGCCTCCTGGACAATTTCATGCCTTTTCCTGGTTCCGATTGTGGCACAGGTGAGGCCCTCCACCTGGTTCCTGAGAAAAATCTGGTTGCCATTCCTACCTGAACCTTCCTCTCACCCTTCACCCCTACCAGTCACCAACCACCTCAACCCAAAACCCAGGACCCAACTTAGTGCCTATTTCTTCCACACTTTGAAGTCAAACAGGCACCTGATCTTTTTCTGTGGGGTAGAACATACACGAAATTCACCATTCTAGCCACGTCCAGTGGTGCAGTTCAGTGGCGTCAGATACACTCACTGCCGTGCAACCACGACCACCGTCCTTCTCCAGAACCTCCTCAGTTCTGCAAACTGCCCCTCAGCCCCCGTGCACCAGACTGCCAATCTTAATGCTGTGATGTGTGTCTCCAGGTAGCCAAACCCAGCCTTCTCTGCAGCCCCGTGGCCACTGCCCAATTCAGGGTTTCTACTCTCTGTGAACTTATTCCATTCTTTTATTTTAAATTCCAAATTTCATCTTTATACTAATTTTTCATGTATACACTTTTACAAAAATCTGATAATACTATAAAAGCCTTATGAAGAAAATCAGCAGACCTGCCTCTCAGTCTCTCCACCCTCTGCATGAAGAAGAACTCTTCCCACAGACAAGCCCTCACCTCCTCCGGCTGTTTTCTTCAATACCATCCTCCTTACTGTCAATGATCACGACGGCTCTGCTGTTTTGCTATATGATACCTGAGCTTTTCGACCACACCCGCAATACATGCCGTTATCTTGGTCCCCTCTTTTCTGGCTTACCAATATGACGTCCAATTAACATTTAGTATTAAATTTATTTTTAGGTAAACATTATTCAATGTGAATCTGCATAATGAGCTATTATTATCTATCCTCATACAACATTTTACCTTCCCTGGAGTTATTACTTTACTTTTTAATGTGCATAATTTATATCATTAATACAGTTCAAAATTCTCTCAACATAGTCATAGCATTTTTTTTCCATCAATATGGTAAAACCCATTCAAAAATCAATCCTTTTTTTCTTCGGATCTCACCTTCTTGCCGCATTCTATGCCGGTGTGGCCTGGGCTTTCCTCCCCATCCTGAGCATCTCCTCAGCTGCTAACCTGGCTGAATCCCTGGTTCCTGGATCCCCGCACCTTCCTCTGTCCAGGTTTCTTCTCTCGTTTCTGGGTCAGCACATCCTCCGAATCTTCCTGAGAGAGCGAAGGGGAGCCTCAGAGACTCTGTGTGGCTGGCCCTCTTACTCCACTCTCACATCTGGCAGGTGGTGTGCCTGTGCCTGGAGCTCCGGAGCAGCCACCACTTCTCCAGGATTCTGGAGGGAATTCTGCAGGTTCTCCCAGCTGTCCCTGCCGCTCTGGAGAAGATGGAAGCCATCTGGTTTCTCGATCTGTCTTTTCTCCCTGAAAGCTCACAGGCTCCCCTGGCAATGCTGGTGTATGGGAGTTTTCCAGGGGTGTCGGCCTATGTTGTATTCACTGTTCTGGGGAGTTCATGCACCTGCCATCTATAATCTCACCGACTTTGGGTCTGGTGATTTTTCTAGAATTGGTGATTTTTCTAGAATTTCCTTTTCCTGGATCATTTCCCCACTCTGCTTTCTCTATGCTCTTTTGAGAGCTTTGTCATCATATGTTGGAGTTTTTGCAAAGTCACTGTGAGCATCTCATCTTTTTACTCTTATTTTCCATTATTTTGTCATTTTCCTGTTTTCTGGGAGATTGTTGTTTTCGATTTTATTTTCAAAATCCCGTGGAGATTAAACCATATTTTTGTAACAAGAGATTTAATTCCTAGGAGCTCTTGCCTGGGAATTGCTCCAATCTTCAGATCTCATTGATTCCAGTATTAGGACTGTGGGTGCTGCTGGCTAGGTTGTCGTGGCTCCCGGAGAAGGGTAACTGTCCACCAAGTTCTCAGGGGCCGGGCACAGGCCGGGTAACTGTGCACCAAGTTCTCAGGGGACAGGCATAGGCCGGGGTAACTGTGCACCAAGTTCTCAGGGGCCGGGCACAGGCCGGGTGACTGTGCACCAAGTTCTCAGGGGATGGGCATAGGCCGGGGTAACTGTGCACCAAGTTCTCAGGGGACGGGCACAGGCCGGGTAATTGTGCACCAAGTTCTCAGGGGCCGGGCACAGGCCGGGTAACTGTGCACCAAGTTCTCAGGGGACGGGCACAGGCCGGGTAACTGTGCACCAAGTTCTCAGGGGACGGGCACAGGCCGGGGTAACTGTGCACCAAGTTCTCAGGGGACGGGCACAGGCCGGGGTAACTGTGCACCAAGTTCTCAGGGGACGGGCACAGGCCGGGGTAACTGTGCACCAAGTTCTCAGGGGACGGGCACAGGCCGGGGTAACTGTGCACCAAGTTCTCAGGGGACGGGCACAGGCCGGGGTAACTGTGCACCAAGTTCTCAGGGGCCGGGCATAGGCCGGGGTAACTGTGCACCAAGTTCTCAGGGGACGGGCACAGGCCGGGGTAACTGCACCAAATTCTCAGGGGACGGGCATAGGCCGGGGTAACTGTGCACCAAGTTCTCAGGGGACGGGCACAGGCCGGGGTAACTGTGCACCAAGTTCTCAGGGGACGGGCATAGGCCGGGGTAACTGTGCACCAAGTTCTCAGGGGACGGGCATAGGCCGGGGTAACTGTGCACCAAGTTCTCAGGGGCCGGGCATAGGCCGGGGTAACTGTGCACCAAGTTCTCAGGGGCCGGGCATAGGCCGGGGTAACTGTGCACCAAGTTCTCAGGGGCCGGGCACAGGCCGGGGTAACTGTGCACCAAGTTCTCAGGGGCCAGGCATAGGCCGGGGTAACTGTGCACCAAGTTCTCAGGGGACAGGCACAGGCCGGGGTAACTGTGCACCAAGTTCTCAGGGGCCGGGCACAGGCCGGGGTAACTGTGCACCAAGTTCTCAGGGGACGGGCACAGGCCGGGGTAACTGTGCACCAAGTTCTCAGGGGCCGGGCACAGGCCGGGGTAACTGTGCACCAAGTTCTCAGGGGACGGGCACAGGCCGGGGTAACTGTGCACCAATTTCTCAGGGGGCGGGCACAGGCCGGGGTAACTGTGCACCAAGTTCTCAGGGGACGGGCACAGGCCGGGGTAACTGTGCACCAAGTTCTCAGGGGCCGGGCACAGGCCGGGGTAACCGTGCACCAAGTTCTCAGGGGACGGGCACAGGCCGGGGTAACTGTGCACCAAGTTCTCAGGGGACGGGCACAGGCCGGGGTAACCGTGCACCAAGTTCTCAGGGGCCGGGCATAGGCCGGGGTAACTGTGCACCAAGTTCTCAGGGGACGGGCATAGGCCGGGGTAACTGTGCACCAAGTTCTCAGGGGCCGGGCACAGGCCGGGGTAACTGTGCACCAAGTTCTCAGGGGACGGGCACAGGCCGGGGTAACTGTGCACCAAGTTCTCAGGGGACGGGCACAGGCCGGGGTAACTGTGCACCAAGTTCTCAGGGGACGGGCACAGGCCGGGGTAACTGTGCACCAAGTTCTCAGGGGACGGGCACAGGCCGGGGTAACTGTGCATGAAGTTCTCAGGGGACGGGCACAGGCCGGGGTAACTGTGCACCAAGTTCTCAGGGGCTGGGCACAGGCCGGGGTAACTGTGCACCAAGTTCTCAGGGGACGGGCACAGGCCGGGGTAACTGTGCACCAAGTTCTCAGGGGACGGGCACAGGCCGGGGTAACTGTGCACCAAGTTCTCAGGGGACGGGCACAGGCCGGGGTAACTGTGCACCAAGTTCTCAGGGGCCGGGCACAGGCCGGGGTAACTGTGCACCAAGTTCTCAGGGGCCGGGCACAGGCCGGGGTAACTGTGCACCAAGTTCTCAGGGGCCGGGCACAGGCCGGGGTAACTGTGCACCAAGTTCTCAGGGGATGGGCACAGGCCGGGGTAACTGTGCACCAAGTTCTCAGGGGCCGGGCACAGGCCGGGGTAACTGTGCACCAAGTTCTCAGGGGCTGGGCACAGGCCGGGGTAACTGTGCACCAAGTTCTCAGGGGCCGGGCATAGGCCACGGCAGAGGAGGGTGCAGCGACTGTGCAGTCACAATTCTTGCTTTTTCCAGGAAAGAAATTAAATTCTGAAAATGGCATCCAAGGCCACTTCATCCCTTAACTTTTATGAATCCTTTGGTCACAGTAACTTTCACTTTAAAAAATACAGACCTGGCCTGGTAACCTAATGAATTCTGACCTAATTCTTCTATTAATTGATGCCTAAATAAGTGTATACTGTTTCCCAACGTCTGAATGAGCCAGTGAATAACGAAAACCCCTTTCTTCTTGGGGTCACATATTTTATCACTAAGTACAGACACCAAAACCCCAGACATGCATTTGTGGGTCTCCTTCATGAATGTAACACATCGGAGAAGAGAATGGGAGTGAAATGACCTTCCTGTCAGAGTCCACCGCCAAAGACATCTGCCGCTCTCTCACCCATGAAGAGTGAAGAGATTCATTAGTTTACTCTGCTGGAAAGTGCTCGCTGGGAGCTGCTGGTGGTCATCTGACCAGGAGTTTAATTCATGCTTCTTGTTAATGTCAAGTTAATATAGGCTCTGACGTGGCCATTCTAATACTGCAAAGTTTTCACTGACCTTACAGAGAAGAGCCTCAGCCCTGGGCCAGGTGGACGGCACCTGTCCCAGCCCCAGCCACTAAGGGGAACCATGGAATTGGGATCTGGTCGTTAATCAAGCAGCCTTTGAGCCTCCCCAAAAATACAACACAGGCAGGAAGGCTAAAGCTCCTCAGACCGGTAACGTCGCCAACTGTGTGTCCCTAAACCATTTCCCTCCTTGAGCGAAGGCCTATCAGCCTCCACATCCGTGTTCTCGTGTGTACAAGGCAGGGCTAACACATACCGTACCATTTGACAGAATCTCTGTATAAAAGTCTGAGATTATTAATGCATTTCTCATTCAGGATTGCTGCCCTTTATGTTTTTAGCATCTGGCATGAAGTGGCGGCAGCAGCACTTTTCCAACACCTTTTCCATATTTGAGAATTTGAAATACTGTAACATATTCTCCAAACCTTAGAACTTGATGACTTTCCAGAAAGCGTGTAATTATTTTTTTCAAAATAAAAATCCCTTATTTTTCTCGTTACAAAATTAATGAATATACCTGACAAACTTAATTATAAATTTGCCAAAATAGATAAAGGGGATGATCCTTGCAATGTCACAACATAGATATGGCACTGCCCACGTGGCGATGCACATCCACCTGAGAATACTTACGTCCAAAGATCCTTCGATTTGTGTTCCACAAAAATAAGATGACACCGCATATGCTAATTGTATCAGCCTGATTAATTAACATAGTAAGTATAATTTCTCATTGATTAGGGTCTCTCTCTACACACACACACACGCACACACACACTTTGTATACATACATCCCTTCCATAATTTTAATTGGCTATAGAACTTTTTTGGGGGGGATATACTAAAGTTTATTCAACCAGTCCTCTTTGATGAAGCATTCAATATGGCTTCTGATTTCTTGCTATAAGCAATGTAAACTATACACATTTCTTTTGTTTTTTTCCCCTTTGAGACAGGGTCTCACTGGGTTGCCCAGGCTGGAGTGCAGCGGCACGATCATGGCTCACTGCCGCTTCCATCTCCCAGGCTTACACAATCTTCCCACCTCAGCCTGCAAAGTAGCTGGGACTGCAGGCACACACCACTGCACTGCTAATTTTTTAAAAGTTTATTTTTTTGTAGAGATGGGGTCTCACTGTGTTGCCCAGGTTGGTCTCAAACTCCTGGGCTCAAGCAATTCTCCTGCCCCTGCCTCCCAAAGCGCTGCAATTACAGCTGTGAGCCACTGCGCCTGACCGATGATACATATTTCTGCACATATATTCACGCACACTTGCCCTTGAACAACATTGGTTGGAACTGCTGGAGTCCACTCACACGGGGATCTTCTTCCTCCTCTGCCACCCTGAGACTGTGGGAACAACCCCTCTTCTCCTCCTGAGCCCACTCAACGTGAAGACGGGGATGAAGGCCTCTGTGGTGATCCATTTCCATTTAATAAACAGTACATGTATTTTATGATTTTCATAACATTTTCTTTCTCTAGCTTACTTTACTGTATGAATACAGCATGTAATACATGTAACAAACACAATGTGTGTCAGTGACTGTATTATTGCTTAGGCTTCTGGTTAACAGGAGGCTATCAGCAGTAAAGTCTGGGGGAGTCAAAAGTTATATGCGGATTTCTGACTGCATGAGGGGGTTGCTACCACTAAGCCCTGCTTTTTTATGAGGGTCAACTGTGTATTTATTTGATTTTTTTCAAGATTGCATAAATGTAATCTAAAAAACACTGTGTAGACTTTATCATTCTTGGTGCTGGGGTTCAGACAAGAAACGTACATTTTATATTTCCTTAATGTAAATGTGTAGACATGGAATTCCTATCTGAATGGCTACGCTCACTTTGAAAATGTGATACAAACACACACACACACACACACACACACACACACACACACACACACACACTAGAATAACCCTCAGATTTACTAAGGAAGAAAATCCCAGCATTCACAGCAACGCGATGGAGCTGGAGGACATGATGCTGAGTGAAATAGGCCAGGCACAGAAAGGCAAACACTGAGTGGCCTCACTTACTTGTGGAACTAGAAAAACCCAGATTCCCAGAAGCACAGAGTAGAAGAGTGGGCGCCAGGGCCCAGGGAAAGCGGAACGGGGAGATGCTAACCAAAGGATATAAATTCAAGTCACAGGATGGGCAAGGTCTGGGGCTGCACCGTCCAGCCTGGATGAGGACAGGTGTGTTAATTTACCCAGTTGTGGTCATCACTGCACAAGGTGCACAGACATCAAATCATCATGTCGTACTCCTTGAGTACAAAAGAGTTACGCTCAGTTCAAATTGCCAAACTGGCCCACAGAAATGTTTAATAAGTAAGCAGGAACCGTAACGGCCCATTTTTTCATGTCTTTGCTAACATTGGCTAGTATTAATCTTTGCCAATCTGTCAGCCAACAATGGAATCTTGTTTTCATGGGCACACATGGAATTGGTGGTGAGGTTAAATGTCCTTCACGGTCTCTGCTTGTTTCTGGACATCCTGGGGAAGCACCTGTTCTGGTTGCTTGTCCAGCCGTGTTCACGTATGAAGCCTTTTCCGTCGGTTACGAACAGCAACTCCTCACCATGCGCCGTGACCTTTATTTTTAATTGGCCTCTTAAGTCTAATTTTGATTTAGAAAGGAACTCCTTATATTATTTAAGTAAAATATAAATATAAAAATATCAAATGTAAAGAATAACCTTTTTCCTTTTTGGCCTTTTGGGTGTTTTTTTTTTTTTTTTTTTTTTTTTGAATCATGTTCAAAACATCCTAACCGGTTCTGAGATGATACAAATGGTCACCAAAATCATATTTTGCAATTCTTATGGCTTTATTTTCTTAAGTTTAAACTTTTAGTCTCCATGGAATTTAATAAGATAAGGTATTGTGAGTTCAATGTCACTTTTTTCGAAATAGCTATCCCTGTGTCCCAGTTAATACCAATAGTCATGACTTTCGCAAGCGTGTAATTAAAGAATTTTTCAAAGTAGCTCAGTGCTACAGAGAGTCCCCAGTGAACATGACACCTCGGCGAACTTTTAATTTCAGAAGCAATTTGGAGTAAGATGTGGTCGGGTGTTCATGCTGATCCTTCATGTGGACTTTAATTCACGTCGCTTTGTAACCAGGTGAGATGCAAAAGGCCCGCACACTTTCTCAGAAAAAAGCCTCGCTTATCACAAGTCTTTTGTGCAGCTGAGCATCTCTGGCAACTGGAGGGGTGAGTTTTATGCACGAATTTGTGCTTTTCCAAAGTCTCCTTAGTTCAACTCAATGGTGACTGAAATGCTTCTGAAGTAACCTGCGATTTATTTCATAATTTCTGGAGACGGCTGCTTCCGTTAACCAGGTGCAGGTAATTTGCGGTGCAGGAAGTAACAAAGCCTGAGCTCCCGTCGGTGCCAGCAGCCCCACACGCACAGCAAACACTCGCGTTCATGTCTCTGCAAAGCGCTTTGCTGCCTGAAGTGCTGAGAGACACCCTTTTGCACATTCGAGTACTCTTTTCAGGATTCCTATGTATGTTCATTTGAAAGTGTTTATTGAACTACTGTTACAAACCAGCGGCTTGGCTGGGACATAAAAGAGAATGAGACCCAGAACAGGCAGCCCCTGCCCCAAGGACACAGCAGTGGGCAGAGCAGGCATCTCCTGACCAGGGTGCAGATGCTGGGATGGAGCCGGGCTCAGAAGAGAATTGAAGAGAGCACCCCCAAAAGAGCAGACCCCCACCGAGCAGGAGGGGAGGGAAGGGAGGGCACCCCAAAATCAGGCCCCCACCGAGCAGGAGGGGAGGGAAGGGAAGGCACCCCAAATCAGCAGGCCCCCACCGAGCAGGAGGGGAGGGAAGGGAGGACACCCCGAAATCAGCAGACCCCCACCAAGCAGGGAAATGGGGTTGTTGGCCACTCTCTGTCAGCCCCTGCACAACCTCCCTTCTCCCAGGCACGGTTGCCATGCCAGCCTCAGTCACTCACGGCACTGGGGGCTCCTGACGTTAAGTGCGGGGTCCCCGCCAGTTAGAAAGTAAACTCTTTCAGGGCCTGGACTGAGTTTTCCCAACTCTATGTGACAAAGACTTCCAGGGACCTGGTTAAAAATGATGACAGCGGTTACGGTTCTTACAAGAAGAGACTGAATATGACGCCTCAGTATACACAGCAGGGCGCATGGTGGCTCGGTGAATGAGTGAAGGAAGCGGGAGGAGGAAATTCGCCATGAGGAGAGGCCTCGGCAGACGGAGGCTGCCTTGGTCTGAGGTATTTAGTCTCCCTGCCCGTTTCTCCACCTCCTAGATAAGGGATGTCGGCGTACGTGCCGTGTGGGGCGGCTGTGCCAGGGACATGACTTAGCAAAGACGCGGCTCTTAGGCCCATGCCTCGCACTGAGCTGGTGACTTAGCGAAGATGTGGCCCTCGGGCCTGTGCCTGGCACAGAGCCGGCACTGCATGGACGTGAGCTAAAATTTGCGAAGGCAGGAGGACTCGGGCTGATGGCAGCGGGTGGCCCCGCGAGGCTGACGTGCCACAGTCTAGGCAGGGCTCAGGGAAGAACTGGCCTTGTCTCCTCACCTAGCTGTGCATTTCCTGGTCTTGTAGCCATAGAAGCTAACTAAGCCTTTTTGGGAAAGAAATTGAATTTTTTCATTTTAATTTAAAAAGAAGCTTTATCCATAGCCCAATGTCAGCCCAAGGGGACACATGCTGTGGTGGACCCTATGGGGCTAAGAATGAGCTACCCTGAGCTAGAAGTGATTGACTGTTTTAACAACTTGGAGGCCAAAGGACAGGGAAGCATGAGTGTTGAACCCGCCGACCACACTGCCCTGAAGGGGACGGCACAGACTCCTCAGAGAAGAGAATCAGGATTTGAAAGAATCTGGGGAAATGAAGGAAACGCCAGAAACTGCATAAGGAAAGACTGAAAAAGTGAGAATGGAAATTAGAATGAAAGCAAAACGTGTGACTTTCCAAAAATGAGGGTGATGAAAGCACAGAGGAAGATGGAGCCTGTCCCCGCCCAACCCATGTGTGCAGGACGGACAGATGAGGCCAGGTGTGCGCAGGACAGACAGGTGAGGCCAGGTGTGAGCAGGATGGACAGGTGAGGCCAGGTGTGCGCAGGACAGACAGGCGAAGTCAGCTGTGTGTGTCAGGGACAGGTGAGGTCAGGTGTGCGCAGGAAAGACAGGTGAGGCCAGGTGTGTGCAGGATGGACAGGCGAAGTCAGGTGTGCGCAGGATGGACAGGTGAGGTCAGGTGTGTGCAGGACGGACAGGCGAAGTCAGGTGTGTGTGGCAAGGACAGGTGAGGTCAGGTGTGTGCAGGACAGACAGGTGAGGTCAGGTGTGTGCAGGACAGACAGGTGAAGTCAGGTGTGCGCAGGACAGGTGAGGTCAGGTGTGTGCAGGACAGACAGGCGAAGTCAGGTGTGTGTGGCAAGGACAGGTGAGGTCAGGTGTGTGCAGGACACACAGGTGAGGTCAGGTGTGCACAGGATGGACAGGTGAGGTCAGGTGTGCGCAGGACAGACAGACAAAGTCAGACATACGGCATACGTGCAAGGGACAAGTGAGGCCAGGTGTGCACCTGCGTCCAGATATCTTGAGACGGGTCACTTCAGCAGGAGTACAGTGCAAGTCAGGTCTTGGGGCAGCTGTCTGATTCAGTGGCTGCTGAGAGGGACCAAGCCTGAGGGTGTACGGCAGCCAAAGGCCCTGGGGGAGGCTGCGTCTGCACAGGGGTGCGTGAACTCCATCAGCTGATTTGGGGCTGCCACCCCCAGACAGACGAGGTGGGTGCAGCTTCGCAGAAGAGACACAGGCTCCAGGCCTCCCCTCGGGCACACTTCCGTGCCTATGCTCGGGTTCTGCACGGAGCTGGATTCTTACATCACAAAGGTGAAAAACATGAAGAAGCTGTGCTGGACCAAGAATACCAGAGCTGACAATATTATATGGTATTGGGAGGAGACAGGAGGGAGCTGCACTCAGATCCACTGACCCCCACGCTGGCAAGGCCCTCCTCACAGGCCCTCAGGGCACACTGGGTTCTGACAGGCTGGGGTATGTCCTCTGCCTCCCAGCTTCACCTTTCCTGGGATATGAAGACCTGTGCATCTTTATTTTATTTTATTTATTTTTTTGAGTCGGAGTCTCGCTCTATCGCCCGGGCTGGAGTGCAGTGGTGCGATCTCAGCTCACTGCCAGCTCC
The DNA here is from genome assembly GCF_000001405.40 of Homo sapiens. Classification (NCBI taxonomy): domain Eukaryota; kingdom Metazoa; phylum Chordata; class Mammalia; order Primates; family Hominidae; genus Homo; species Homo sapiens. The sequence continues at coordinate 96,357 of NT_187565.1, read as the reverse complement.
GCCTCCCAGGTTCACACCATTATCCTGTCTCAGCCTCCAGAGTAGCTGCGACTATAGGCGCCTGCCACCTCGCCTGGCTAATTTTTTGTATTTTCTGTAGAGACGGGGTTTCACCATATTACCCAGGATGGTCTCGATCTCCTGACTTCGTGATTCGCCCGCCTCGGCCTCCCAAAGTGCTGGGATTACAGGCGTGAGCCACTGCGCTCGGCCGAAGACCTGTGCATTAAGCAGCCCCCTCCTGGCTGGCCCCAAACACCTCTGCTGCCCTAACCCTACAGCTGCACACCACTGACCTGGAGGGGCCAGGTAGGGACAGGTGCTGTGGGGCTGGGCCCCGAGGACTTCCTCTCGCTGGGACGCACACGCCTATCTGGAAGCTCCCTGCAGAAGTGGCAGGCATCTCACTGCCCTATTCTAATGTAAGCAGCCAGGGACCGCGCACAGTAACTGACACTGTGGTTCTGCTGAAGCATGTGGTCCCTGATGCACTCTGTTAATTGCATGGTGTGATTACAAATCAGTTCCCATTCCTTCAGAACTGCGTCTGCAGAAGGGGCCATGACAAATCCTTCGATGTGGGCCTTGCTCTGAGGCCATTTCCTACCCGTGCACATTTCGCTTTCACGGCCAAATACGCTTGCAGTAGCAAGAAGAACCCCACCTGCGGACCACACATCCCACCGGGCTCAGGTTGAGGGTCTCGGTAGCCCTGTCCCCGCCATCCGCCGATGACCACACATCCCACCGGGGTCAGAGTGAGGGTCTTGGCAGCCCTGTGAGCTGGCACGTCCCTGTCACCCGGCTCCCCACTGCCACCCGGCTCCCCCTTCTTCAGCAGGAGGAGAGCAGCTTCTGAAAGGGAGCGTCTTCTTCTGAAAGCGCCTCAATTGTACCAGCACGGCCTCCAGCTCCGTCGGAGCTCTGAGTTCTGAAGCGCAGGTCAGCCCAGCTTCCAGGCTGATTCACTGCCACCAGCAGGTGGGCACAGAGGCCATGCAGCGGGGCGCTTTTCAAGGAAGCTCCTCTCTCTGCAGGCCCCCGTGGCCGATGCTCTCTAGAGGGACTGCGGTGCACAGGAGCTGGCTGATGGAGTGAGAAGAAACGGCACAGAGACCTGGTTTGTCTCCTAGGAGGTGGCTCACAGCTATGAGACAGCACGTCCCGGGCCCTTCACCCACAGCTGGGCTTCAAGGACTCTTTCTGAGTTTACTGCCTCATTCTGATTCCTTTCATGGCTGATGTTTGTCTTATTTGAGAAACAGCCCAAATGTAGGAGGTGGGGGCTCAGTTCTGAGGTCGTGGAGAGGTGTCGTTAACCCAAATGTAGGAGGTGGGGGCTCAGTTCTGAGGCCGTGGAGAGGTGTCGTTAACCCAAATGTAGGAGGTGGGGGCTCAGTTCTGAGGTCGTGGAGAGGTGTCGTTAACCCAAATGTAGGAGGTGGGGGCTCAGTTCTGAGGCCGTGGAGAGGGGTCGTTAACCCAAATGTAGGAGGTGGGGGCTCAGTTCTGAGGCCGTGGAGAGATGTCGTTAACCCAAATGTAGGAGGTGGGGGCTCAGTTCTGAGGCCGTGGAGAGGGGTCGTTAACCCAAATGTAGGAGGTGGGGGCTCAGTTCTGAGGCCGTGGAGAGATGTCGTTAACCCAAATGTAGGAGGTGGGGGCTCAGTTCTGAGGCCGTGGAGAGGTGTCGTTAACCCAAATGTAGGAGGTGGGGGATCAGTTCTGAGGTCGTGGAGAGGTGTCGTTAACCCAAATGTAGGAGGTGGGGGCTCAGTTCTGAGGCCGTGGAGAGGTGTCGTTAACCCAAATGTAGGAGGTGGGGGCTCAGTTCTGAGGCCGTGGAGAGGTGTCGTTAACCCAAATGTAGGAGGTGGGGGCTCAGTTCTGAGGTCGTGGAAAGGTGTCGTTAACCCAAATGTAGGAGGTGGGGGATCAGTTCTGAGGCCGTGGAGAGGGGTCGTTAACCCAAATGTAGGAGGTGGGGGATCAGTTCTGAGGTCGTGGAGAGGTGTCGTTAACCCAAATGTAGGAGGTGGGGGCTCAGTTCTGAGGTCGTGGAGAGGTGATGTTAAGAATCTAATTTCCTGGAGATGAACAGCACCTCAGTAGCATGCTCCCCAGTGACCACCTGCTGTCAGTGAGGACAGCGCCCCGGCTGTGGTATTGGGCTTGAGATCGACCACCTGCTGTCAGTGAGGACAATGCCCTGGCTGTCGTATTGGGCTTGGGATCCCACTCGTGAAACAGGCGAGTCACGGAAGACGAAGTGCCAGGCCGTGCGGCACCGGAGTCCCACGCACAGTTGCTTTCCTGAGTGGCCTCTGCTTGGACCGATTCGGACTGAAGCCTTGACGTTAGGTGCCTCGGTGCCCTGCAGGATTTCCACCGTCCAGTCTCCACTTTATGCATTTTGATAATGCAAAGTAAAACAAAGTCAAAAAGGATGAATAATTACAGAATCCAAACGACTCAGAAATGAACTTGGAGTTCAAATCTTTAACTCCTACATTGAGGCAGATTCTCCGTCTGCCACATGGTTACATCACAGGAAGGATTTTTAATTTTCAGAGAATCATAAAGCACAGCCTGAACAAATCCACCTGAATGCCCTTTGTTAAGTAAATTGGAGCGAACAGAAGCCTCAGAACTCCTGCTGCTTTCAGAATGACTCTGGTGACCTTTTGCGCAATCATCCTACAGAGAAGGCAAAATCAGCTTTGGTCCAAGAACAAAAGTTGGTCTTGTAATCAGGGAGCTGCCTCCCTGCTGAGGTCACTGGACCCGTGCCGAACATGGGTGTTTTGCGGGCTGCATGGGACCACCGTGGGGCAGGGAGAAGGCCCCACCTCCACCACACAGCCTTCTGTAAACCTAACGTAACCTCCATTACACAGCCCTCTACAAACGTGACCTACCCTCCACCACAGCCTTCTGCAAACCGACCCTAACCTCCACCACAGCCCTCTGCAAACCTAACCTAACCTCCACACTACACAGCCCTCTGTAAACCTAACCTAACCTCCACCACACAGCCTTCTGTAAACCTAACCTAACCTCCACCACACAGCCGTCTGCAAACCTAACCTAACCTCCACCACACAGCCCTCTGCAAACGCCCCACCCCTCAGCTTAAACCTCAGGTTGCATTTTGTGATCTATTGGGTTACAATAAAGAGAAATTACCGACTATTCAATTGGGATAACTTTTTTCAAACAGAGAATGCCCGTTACACTCATTCCATTTGTACCGCGCTTCATGTACTGTGGAGAGCATTCTCTGCGGGTCTGTGATACACATATGACCTCCTAGCGGGCAGCAGGGTAGATTCCGTGCATTGAACCTGACCTTCCTTGCAGGCTACGTTTGTGTGTGAGAAGAAGACACGGGAAAGGCACGTCCCTGAGCTGGAGAGGCCACAGCGTTGTGTTGATTAAGCTCCTAGTTGGTGGACGCCCCATGGATGTGGAAGGACTTCACTGATGATCGAGACTGGAACCCCTTCAGCGAGAGGAAGCGAGGTTTGGGTAGAGAAAGCGCCGCTGTGGCCACCTCACTGGTGAAATGATCTCACTGAACGTTGACAAAAACCATTCTCTGGTGAAGAGAACAATTGCCCACTGCCCTCTTTGTGGGCAGACGTGTCCACAGAAACACAAACCTGATCCCGGATTCGGGTCTCGGCCGACACGGCTCTCTGTCCGGCCCCCCGTCCTTGTCGGGCAGGAAGCCCGGGGACGCAAGCGGCACAGGGCTCTGCGTCTGGCGCTGCCCAACCTGCGGCCACGGTCCAGGCGCGGCGCCTCCGGAAGGGCCCGCCCGTCAGCTGCCGCCCGCGGCCCCTGCTCCCGACACCCTCCGGGCCGCACGCGCGTGGCGGCGGCGCCTCCCCCCGAGGGGCGTGGCTTTCTCCAGCACAGAGTCTTGCTGCGCAGTCACTCAAGCAAACGGCAGCAAATGCAAACGCTCCAACGGCCAAAGCAAATGAGACCCATGAAGACGCCCCCGCCCCACATGCTGGCGCCCCCCCAGGCACGGAGGTCTCGGGGTCATCACTCACCAGCGAAGCCTCCGCACTCCAGAAGAAACAACAGGAGGAACGTGGGTGTTCTTCAAGGACGGCTCAACTATGAGCGAAACTGTCATCTTGCATAGGTGGCCACGTAGGTGGCCATAACCCCACATCCCTTCACTGACACATGGAATAACACACTCAGAGTGCCCCGTACGGATCTTTAGACTGAATCCCTAAGATTTCACAAGGAAGAATGAAACACAGCTGAAGGAATTCTGGCATTGAAATGAATTTGATGTGGCTGTATCTAACGCCATGTTCGCTTGGGAAAATATACTGCCTCTACTGCAGTACAATTAATAAGAGTTTAATGATGAAACACTGGAAATATATCACAGTTTTATCTCTCTCTGATCTTCCTCTAGCCCACGCCGTCCATGTCCAACTTATTGAAGAGCATTGAGATAACTGGCTTTGAATCATCAGACAGGTCACTCTGGAGAGCGGCTTAAAGTCTTTGCACCTCTTTCACAAAGAGCTCCTGGCATCTAGCAGGCAGCAGCCAGTGATGCTCCTAAAACCCTGCAATACACAAGACGGTGCCCATGAAGAGGAATTATGCAGCCCGGACGTCAGGAGAGCTGAGGGTGAGAAGCCCTGCTGTGGAGGGGACTCGCACGACATTTGTCTTCCCCACACCAGGAGAGGGAGGAGTGAGGGCAAGACGGTGTCTGCTTTGCTCGCCTGCAGAGTCGGCCCTCGGTAAGTGTTGGAAGCACATTAAACAGTGTCCTAGTGTTGGCAGCACGGTGACCAGCGTCCCAGCGTTGGCAGCACGGTGACCAGCGTCCCAGCGTTGGCAGCACGGTGACCAGCGTCCCAGCGTTGGCACCACGGTGACCAGCGTCCCAGCGTTGGCAGCACGGTGACCTGCGCCCCAGCGTTGGCGCCACGGTGACCTGCGCCCCACCCACCCTATCACCTGTGTAGGTGCCTGCAGGTGAGGGCCCAGGTCCCAGAGCTGTCCCCAGCTGCCCACCCCATCACCTGGCAGGTGCCTGAGCAGTGTGTGCCTCAGGCCTCCCACCTGCACAGACAGCAGGCTGCACCACTAAGTTGACCTGCAGCATTGAAATGCCAAGTCTATGTTCATAAGAAACTCTTTTCTGTTCTCCCTGGCTCTCTTTTCAGAGAAAAGTGGCATATTGAAAAGGGCCCTGCACTCTGTCGCTGATCTGTGTGATGCCAGACTCTGTGGGGCCCAGCTTCCTCATCCTGAAATGCAGAATAGTCAAGCCCACTTCCAGGGTGAGTGGACAGTTCCACGATGCACGTGGAATATGAGAAATGCACAAATATCCACTTCCCCTCTCAAGTGGCGATGACATGTGAGCTAAAAGCCCTGCCACAATTCTATTCTTCCAGCTCAGCCCTGAGATGTCCTGTTAGCAATGATTTATTCACCTCAAATTTCAACATCCAGTTTCATTACCATCAAATTTAAGAAAACATAAAAGATCTTCAAATTCCTTCTTTTCCAATCAAGTCACGGGAAGTGAGAGGATAATAGAGTTCTGCAGAAGACATTTCCAATTACAGAAGCCACAAACCACCACAGCATATTAAACCTGCAGTGACCGGGCAGCAACGCGCTGGGCAGAGCACCAGCCTGAGTCATCCTGCCTTTCTGTCCATCTCCCATGCCTGGAGTCCAGGAACCACGCCTGACTTCTGCCAAGCGGACAACTGCTCTGAACCTCTGCCCTGGCGCAAATGCCATCCACGAGGATACAGCACCAGCCAGGTCCAAGTCAGGAAATGAGTGAGTTACTAGAAATAGAGGCCGAATGAAAGGCTTACGGCTAAAGACAGCATCCGTTTAGTTCCCCTCAATGCCTGTCTGAGGACTGCTGACCAGGTGCTGAGACTGTTAATGCATACAGGACGGAGGCAAAAGAAAGACGTGTCTTACTCTCTTCCTCGAGGAGCTGACACATGCATCTGGGAGGCAAGAAACATGCAGGATGGTTTATAAAAGCAATGACAGTGCCTCAGCCAGGGCTGCTTCCAATGACAATTAATGCAATCATATTACACGAATGGTATTAGAAGTGGCTGACACATAAACTACTTACTATCCATGGTGTAAAGCGCTGTTCTAGGCGCCTAACATACAGATGAACTTATTCAAATTCTATCCATGGTGTAAAGCCCTGTTCTAGGCACCTAACACACAGATGAACTTATTCAATCCTTACAACAGTCCTGTGTGGTGCGTTACTCATCTTTTATGCCCAATTTAATGATTAAGAAACAGAGGAGTGGAACTTGCCCCAGGCCAGGCAGTGGTAACCCTCAGAGCCTGGGTGCCGAGTCCGGCTCCTACATACACCAGCAAAGCAGAGAAAGAGAATGCAAGAGTGGAGCGGTTGTCTGGGGTGATCCCAGGAACAGGTGCCTTCAGATGGCTTCTAATCCTCATTGGGTGTGACAGCTCCCCGTGCTCCCTGTAGCAACCAGAGGGTGATAAAAGACAGCTTTTCTTCTTTTGTAAAATTGACTTTTCAGCATTTTATTTTAAGCAAATGAAACACAAAAAAAATGTGACTTGTTACTTAAGTATAGATGCTTTAAATAGAAGATAAAGGAGAGTGGAATGCCCCAACCTATTTTAAGTTCATTTTCCACCTCACTATTTTGAAAGCATGAATGGTAAGATAAACAGTGAGAAGTCCTGGAGGGTATTAAGGTGGTGACGAGATGGTGCAACCCCACCTGCCCAGGGAGAGCAAGGGTTTGGCTGGGATGAATCACGCCGTGTGACTGCTGCCGACCTTCGGGGAACTGCTGAGAACTTGTCAGAGCCAGGCACCGTGGGACATCACCTCCATTTTCTACCTGCCTTCAGAGTCGGCCACTCTGAAGGGCAGTGCTGAGGACACTGAGAGAGAACTCTCAGGGAAAGACTAGGGCTCAATTCGAGGAAGAGCTTTCCAATTGTCATAAATATCCGAAGACCTGTGGGAGAAAAGCTGCCTAGGGACAGTGTTAGTCACCCCGAGAAATGGCCAACGGGGGCTGGACCGCAACTGGGGAGGATGCTGCTGAACTCAGGTCCGAGGGCAACTGCGTGAAGAAGCCCTAAGGCCCCCATCACTCTGAGATTTCAGGGCTCATACGTTCTCTGCACACTCGGCACCTCCTCAGGCTGCAGCGGCTGCCTCTGCACGCCCCAGGACGGCGTCTTCCCGCCAGGCTTGTGCCTTGCGCCTCGCGCCTCCAAGTCTCTACTGTGGATCCGTGAGAGCATCAGAGAACCACGGCATTTTCCTACATCACTGCTGTGTGCTTTGCACAGATGCAAAATGTTAAAAGAGTTCAGAGGCTGCAGGACTTGGCAGGGCTAGGGTAAGTTGGAAAAGCCTTCCTAAGAGCCTAGATATTTGGACAGGGCGTGCAAGGTGGGTGTGATTTAGATGTGAGAATGGAGTTTCATGCATTCCACCTAAAGGAATGTAGCAGAATGGGACGTCCTGTAAGATACAGGCACATCGAGAATTTACACTGGAGGCCAAATGAAGTAGACAGGGAAACAAGGGGAAGGAATTCTTGGTGCAAAACCAACTGTGAGGGGCTGAAATGTGGCCCCCAGATTCCTAACCCCCAGGACCTCAGAATGTGACTGCATGTGAAGATAGGGTTTCATCAAACAGGACTGGGGTCCTTACAGGAAGGGGTGATCACGACACAGACACACACACAGAGGGATGACCATGTGAGGTCACAGCAAGAAGACAGCGTCTGCCAGCCAAGGGGAGGCCTTGGGAATCCAGCCCTGCCCACATCTCCATCTGGGACTTCTGGCTTCCAGGACTATGAGAGAATAAATGTTGTTGAAACCACACTATCTGTGGAATTTTGTAATGACAGCCCCAGCAGAGGAACACCAGCCTTGAAAGCTTTGATCAAAAGCTGTCCATTATTTTATAACATAGAACTGTGGAATTCCAATGTGGATTTAGGGTTCTGCATTCTCTGCTGTGCTGTAAGCTCCAAGCAGGAAGGGGCTGTGTGTGCGGGAACTAGCTCAGTGTCTACCTGTGTCCCACTCCGGGCACCGGGCGTCACGTGCACAGAGTTGAGGGTGACACCTAGTATGTGCGGAGGACCTGCGTTTGGCACAGGAACGGACGATCAGTTGTGGATGCTGTATTACAGGAAGACGCCACTTAGAGCCATCGCAGTCAATTTGACCTTTGTGCTGGGAGAGCATCAGGAATAGATGGTTCCAGGCTAAGTAAAAGTTTACCTACATGCTGCAGAGATGCCTTGGATTTCAAGCCAGCACGGGCTGCTGCGGCTGTATTTCTGGAGTCAGCAGATAATGAATTATTAGATCACCAGCTAATGAGGTAACGCTGTAGCATACCACATGCTTTATGCCAAAAATAAAAAATTGATATACGGCACCAGACGCACAAAAAGACTCATAAACATCTTAGTCATCTTGAAAGATTTGCCTTTATCCATTTTTAATTATTAATCCTCCCCAAATAGGCCCATGTTTAATAAATGGAGGTCAGGCTTGATGGTATATTCTATAAATATTTACTGTGATAGACCTCATTGTATTTCTACATTTTTCAGAGCACAGCATAGGGGAGAGCTTTGCCCACAGCTCCCCGTGTGGCCACACAACTTGCACACATACATACATGCACACACACATACCCACACACATGCACATATGCACATGCACCCATACACATATATACACACGCATGCACACACACATGCATGCACACACACAGCTATGCACATGCACATACACATAATACACACACATACACACATACCTGCACACACGCACACACATGCTCACACATACATGCATACACACCTGCACACAGATATATGGACACACACGTACACACACGTGCACATACACACACACATGCACACGTATGTGCACTACAAATACATACACATGCATACACGCACATGCCTACATACATACAATCAGCACTCAACACAACAGCAACACAGGAGGCCGCCGTGATAGGTATGCACGTTAAAATGTGAAAGCAGAGTCAATCCCCAAAATAAAACCAATCAGTCCCCATCTGGTGACTGAGGAGGGAGGTGAATCCTGACGGCAAAGCCTGTGCTGGCTCCATGCCAGGCACTAAAGATCATCCGGAACAACTGAGCTTGTTCGGGTATCTGACTTCTCTGCCCCCTCTTCTCTCTCTTACCAGTTTATATATGATTTATGTCTAGATAAAGGCTAAATAACTTGCTATTTGTGATACAATCTTGATATTTAATCCAAATACACCGTAAATACACAACAGAGTGATTTTCTGAACTGCAGTGAAGGACGTGCTGCAATAGGGAACCGTTTTAAATGAGACACGCATTAAACACTCTTTGTTACAAAACTAAGACGTAGCATAGTTTCCATGCATAGCAACCACAATTACCTTCCAAAATGCTTTTTCTTAGCAACATGTGAGCTATGCCTTTCCTGATGTTTTAGAATGGTGAAAGCAGCTCTAGAGGGGAGGTGACAACGATCCCACTGTCCTCTGCGGCCCCCAGCAGGGTGTGCCTGGACTTTTGGAATTCCGCCTGCTCCACAGGCACGTGCTGGGCTTGGGAGTTATGAATGAGGCTCTGAGCCACAACGCCCATTAGTGTGTGCTAATTTTTGTGTGCTAGTTGGTCTGTGGATTTTCCCAGAGAGACAGGAACAAGTTTTCAGCAGAATCTTAAAAGGTTTGAGATGAAAAGGAGAATCCAAAAGAATCATCTTCAGGCATCAATTCCTAGAGAAAGCTTTTGAGTTTGCATGTTCTGTGTTATGTCACCTATGGTGACTCCTAGGAAGTCACCAGGCTATGGTCAAAATTCTTGCATTTTGATTCAATGGCCAACCCCCCATTCCTAAGATAAACTGTTTCTCAAAATATGATCTGCAGTTCATAAGTCATATAGTCACCGGGGTCTGTGGTCATGTGCATGTGTGTTGGAAAGGTTGCTACGTAAATGTTAACAGTGTTATTTACCGGGGTCTGTGGTCACATGTGTGTGTGTTGGAGGGGTTGCCATGTAAATGTTAACACTGTTATTTACCGGGGTCTGTGGTCACGTGCGTGTGTGTTGGAGGGGTTGCCATGTAAATGCTAACAGTGTTATTTACCGGGGTCTGTGGTCACATGCATGTGTGTTGGAGGGGTTGCCATGTAAATGTTAACACTGTTATTAGCATTTCTTGCATCTCTCAGTAACTCACTTCACCACAGACCCCCTTATTACATTTTTCTTATTCTGAGCAAACGTGCTGCGGGGACCCGAGACAGAAGGTCCAGCCTCCTGGATGATGCCTGCTCTCCATCCTTGTGGGGTGCAGGCATCTCTTTCCACTTCCCAGCTCACCTCCTGTCCTGCCCCTTTCTTCTGCACCAAGTGAATTCTGCCACCTCTCCACGCCATTGGGTCCCCTGCTCTGTTCCTGTGCCCCTGTACACTGCTCTGCCGGGGTGCCTCTGCCCCATCCCTCCCCTCACACCTCTGCCTTGTCCCAGGTCAGCCGCTGAACATCCCCAAAGCCTCAGCTCAGGAAGACCAACTCCAGGAAGGCCTCCTGGGCTGCCCCCCACTTCAGATGGGGACCCACGTCTGTTCTTGCTGCCCTGAGGACACAGTGCGCTTGGTTCTCTCACAACATGCCCTTGCAGAATGACAGTTCTCTGTCCCTGGGTGTGCAGCCCCTCCAGCCTGGGAATTCCTAAACAACAGGAGACATGTCTCATGCACCTGTATCTCCAGTCCTTAGCACTGGCTATAGTACAAATGGGTGATAAATGTTTACTTTATGAAGGAATAAACAAATGCATGAATATTGACAGTACAGAAAGCAGCACATTAGAATTCATTGTTTAAATGGAGGGAAAAGGAGAGAAAGAAAAAGAAAATAGGAAACTTTTCAACTTGTAAAAACTTGATGAATCCCCAGCACAGTGTCTGGCCTTCGGGTGCACAGTGACATAAGGCACATCTGCCCCTGCCCGGCTGCGGTTCCTGGGATGGCACCTCTGTGGCAGAAGCCAGGCTGGACGGTGCCGTGAGGGGAGGTTTCCCAAGGATGATGGACATCTGAGCAATTTCTCCACAAAGAGACGTGAAGCTACAGGCATGTGGCTTCTGCCATCACCTGTTTTTCCTCCTGGGCAGATGTTTATTCTGGGGAGTTAGAGAGAGGTGACACTGTGTATTTACGTCTGAGCTGCGGCCCCCCAGGGCCCCGACATGAGACATGGCACAGCTCTGGTCCCCCACGTGCCTTCTCACAGGCTCGCCCTCCGCGTGGGCCTCAGAACTCCCAGGAAATTTAGAAATTTAGTGACATTGGCTGCAGCGGCTCCATCTACTGGGACCCGAGATTGATTTTGCTTGGCTCGGCACACTTGGATGCTTGGTTTTGGAGACAGGTCAATGCCATTAATAGCTAGAGGACATCCAGGTAGCAGCTTTTAGTGTGGCAAGAATTATTTTATCTCGGCGAGCAAACTTCCCGAAGCCATCCACATTCTGCCGGACCTGCCATCCTGGACCTGGGAGGGCACCTGCTCAGTAACTGCAGTTTCTTCTTCATTAGGAGTGAGCCCTGTGGATTCCAGTGAGCTCCATCTGCCCCTTCCCCCTCCACGGTTGGAGAGGAGAGCCAGTGGAGAGGCAGGAATCCAAGCATCTCCCTGCTCCCCTGTGCCTGTTTCCCAGCATCTGGGGACCCTGGGCCACCTGCAGCCTCGGTGCGGAGATCCCAGGCTCAGCACCTGAGCCACACATCCCCGGAGCTTGAGGCTCTGGGAGAGTGAGGGGTCCCTAAGGAGTGTCTCCCAGGTGCAGGTGTGGACCGGGTAGAAGTGACCACCCAGGTCCTAACACACCCCTCAAATGCCCCGAACCACAGATGGCTTTGTCTTGACTGCAGGCCCCTGACCTCCCGCTTCGTAGAGCATCTACTTTATAAAAACGTGTCCTTGCGGGGTTTCTCTATGGTCATCTCAGTCGTAAATCTTCTGCCAGGCTCTTCCTAGCTGTGCGTGTCTCTGAGGGCCCGGTTCCCATCCCTGTGAACACAGGCATGGAGGGAGTGGGGCCCTGTGCCCAGTCTCTGAGGAAGGTGGGAGCTTCGCTGCTGTTCCAAGTTTTAAAACTACCCCCTGCCATGAAGATAAGAGAATTTGCTCCTCCTCTGGAAAAGGCTGATCAGCAAACGCAAAGCCCTGGGAGCCTCCCCAACTCCGACGTAAATGCACAGCGTCCCCTCTCTCTCCAGCTCTGAGAAGCCCTCTCGTCCTTCGTTCAAGGGGAGCTGAGCTCTGGCTGAGTTCGGGCCTGTCTCCCCCACGCAAGCTTTAATTGGAGTCCTCCTTGCCAGTCGAGCTTTGCCCAGAGCAATTTTCACTTTGACACAATGCATCTGTGTCACTGACAGAACCACTGAAGAGGCGGCACGCCGGCCCCTGCTGCGAAGATGAGGGAATGGAGTTGAGAGACGCTTCCCGCCAGCCCCAGTCCTCCAGGGAAAATGTGTCTGCTTCGCTGCACCCCCCCCGCCCTTCCCATGACCGGCGCCCGCCTCCCTCTCGCAGCGGTGCCCTTTCACCAGAATCTGGGGTTCCTGAAGGTCGGGGTGGAGGAGGCCCCCAGGCCTGCCCACAGCAGGAGACCACTCCTCATTCCGCACGTGGCAGCCCTTGACGATCACGAGAACGATCCTATTCTGAGTCTGGGTTCTCTCACCCCAGCTCTGTCCCCACCTGGAGCACAGGGCACCCCTCCTCTGGGGGCAGCTGGCTTCAAGGCCACCTGAGGCAAAACCCACAGCTGGGATCCAGCCCGGGGGCACCGTCCGCCCCTCCCCTCTGTACAGGGCTCCTCGATGCAACATGTCATCCAGTGGGAGGAGGCACGGGAGACGGGCTCAGGAGGGAAGGTGGGTGGGGCCGAGAGCTGTGTTATCCCAAAGGTGGGGTCTGCACCTGAAGGCGGCAGGAGTGAGGAAGACCCCCATATGGGGTTCCATGAGGATCAGTGAGGGGTACCACCTGGTGCACCTGACAGAGGATGAGGGGCTGGGGAGGCATCCTGACTCCTACTGTGCCATGGCCAATAGCCTGGCTGTCACTGTCAGGGAGGGACCCCCCAGCCGGCACAACCTCACGGGGAGCAGGTGGTCAGAAGAGGCCTCCCAGAGACGTGGCAGGCCAAGGCCAGGCCTGCCACGGGCAGCCGGGCTCTGTCACACCCGCAGCCTCTGAGGCCTGGCTCAGTCGCCCGTGGTTCCCACACAGCAAGGATGCATCTCAGCCACCAGAGAGGAGCTGCCAGAGCGTCGGGTTCTCTTTCCTTCTCTCCAGCTTCTCTCCATGTCCTGACTGTTGTCCCCACCCAGAAGCAAGGTCAAGAGGGCCAGAAGACAGAGGAGATTTGCAGGTCCAGATCCCAATGTCGCCTGACAGGGCTGTGAGAAGACAGCCAGGACCAAGTTCCTCTGGAAATGCCGGGGACCCCACCATCCCTGCAGGGAAACGTGCCCTGAGCTCCTGCCAGGATGGCTTTTTGTGGACAAGGCCATCACTGGGTGGTGGAGGAAACGCGTGTGGGGGACGGAGGGCTTACAGGTGCCTCTGTCCTCCTGACCTGCGACGTGGAGGCAGGAGAGGCAGCCGCAGGTGTGCCACGGACGTGGGACCGGCGAGGCAGAGGCAGGAGAGACAGCCGCAAGCATGCCACGGGCGTGGGACCTGCAAGGCAGAGGCAGGAGAGACAGCCGCAAGCATGCCATGGGCGTGGGGGCGCTTTCGGGATGCTGCCTGTGCTGCCCGTACCTTCGTGTGAATCTCCATTTCTTTCCCAGAAAGGAAGGCTGGTGCCCGCAGCCTGGCAGCCAGCTCCACCTGCAGATGGTTTTGTGTGGCCCACATGGTATTTTCTTTTTATGAATTACTTGCCAACTTCTAAAAATGAGAAGACTTCAGACAGAAACCAGATTTTTGGCTTCTCTTTAAAGCTTAGAGGATCTGGTGGCTCAGGCCTGTGTCCGGCGGTGGGGCTGAGATGTGGCTTCCTCCATGGCTGCCCCAGGCCCTCAAATCCCCTGAGGGTGCTGCCCCGAAGTGAAGAAAGCCAGCAGGACAGACAGACAGACGGGAAAGACGAGAAGAGAAGGGAAAAGACAAGAGAAACTAGCCACTGACTTTGAAACGTTCAACAAAATTCACCAGGAGAAGCCCAGAAGCCCAGGCGGTCGCGCCTCCTAATCCCAAATGCATGGGGTCAAAGAAGTACAGAAATGGACGCTGTTGCTTGACACTAAGGCTTTGGCTCTTGAATTAAAAAGCAAATGGGCGGAAAATAGATTTAGGTTATTTCGGGGCTCAGCACTGCCTGCCACTGTAAAATGCTTTCAGAGAAAGCTGAGGACGGTGCTGGTGTTAAGGGGAGAGATGGCCTCGCGTCAGAATTTTCCATGGTGACTGTGGCCGTGAGAGATCAGGGCTAGACCATGGTTAGTGTGGAAGCCAAGGCTCACGGGGACCACACAGTGTAAGGGGAAATGAGGACACTGACGGGTGTCCCCGCCGGAGGCTGCACATGGACCACGCCAGCCCTTACCGAGCCTCCCGAGGGCGCTGTGACGGCGGGACTGCTGTCCGCATGGGACATGGGAAGATGGAAGATCAAGAAGGGGCAACCTACCTGAGGTCAAGAGCTGTAAGTGGCAGGACCTGGGTCCAAACCCAGGCCACATCCCTAAGACCCAGGATTCGACCCGTTTACCTGCCTGGCCCTGAGTGGAGCTGCCACTGTGGGGAACACCAGGTCCCACCCACAGTTCCCGAGGACTCGCTGCCACCTCGGCCGCCCCTGCCCTCCCCTGCCAGTGCCGAGACGGCGCTGCGGATGCCTCAGAAGGCTCAGATCACAGAATTGGGTTTGAAGTACGCTAACTCCCCGAGTCCCAGCTGTACCGCTCTCCTTGAATTCTCTTTCATTCTCCTAAACTTTAACCCCAGACACCGAACTTGCCACCGTAGCACGGAAGGGGCCATTCCACCTCTGCAGCCAGGAGGTGCCAGAGAGGTGTCCTGCAGCCAGGAGGTGTCCACCTCTTCCCAGGAGACCTGCCAGGCTGGGGCAGCACAGTTAGTGCCCAGGAGAGCACAGAACCAGCGGAAATGAAACCGTGGGAGCCGGGCTCAGGCCTGCACTAGAAGACGCCGCGAGCACGTTTCTCTTAGAATTTGACTCACGGAGGTGGATTCTTGGAGGGTTTTCTCCTCCACTGGATTTTTGTACAAATTTCCGACTCACTCGCAGCTTCCTCATAGCTCAGTTACCGTGTAGGGCCTTGCGCGAAGGTGCTTGACATCAATTTAGTAAATGGAGAAAGCTAATAGTCAGACCCAGGGGGGCTCCCATGCTCCGTTTAAACGATGCAGTGAGTTAAGAATGTATCAAGCTCAGTAACATATTTAACATCATTTTTCTAAAACAATCACGAGCAAGAAGAAGCTGAAGAAATGTTTATGCAATTCTCAGCACCAGACGGCTACCTACAGAGCCGTGTGTTACCTTAGTTCTGAAGATAAGGGGAAAAACTACAGAGATTAGAGTAATTTTTAAAGGCAACACATAGATTTCTGTTTGTTTTTATTTGTATAAAGCACTAAGAAAGATAAATCCAAGTCCTATAAATAGCATCTGAAGTAGAGACTGTGGAGGGATAAAAGTCTACTCTAAAGTTGTGTGTTGGGGAGAATGTGATCCATGAAATGTCGACTGGAGAAGCAGGATCTCTGCTGTCCTTGGGGAGTCACCTTGCCGCAGGGACCATGGTCAGGGCTACACATTTGCAGTTGGTGGTTCGACCCCTGCAGACACTGTTGCAAATCTGGTGTGGTGAGGCCCCAGGCAGTCACCACCAAGGACCATCTCAGCTCGTCTGCACCATCACTGTGAACAGCCTGGGGCTGGTCCCGGCCACTGCCCACACAAAGCTTAAAAGGAAAGGATCACAGAAGAGTTTCCTTCCCCTTCTCAGGATGAAATTTTAAGCCTGGAAACTTTTTCTGTAATCACCCACTTCCCTTTTAGACACTCGGCACTGTGCTTCTGAAACACGTGAGCGATGAGAGGCGAGAAACCGTGTTCACGTGTCCGGTGGGGCCAGAGCATTCCCGGGTCTCTGTCTGGATCTCACCGTCGTGTGCAGACGGCCCACGCCCTGCCTCAGGGCGACTGTTTCCTCGTGCCTCTGGGCAACCGTGTCAGGCCACACAAGAGACAGACCATCATGATCAAACAGGAGTTTGGAAGCTACCGGAAGAACGAGGCCACCGATCTCCATGGTGGGGGCGGTGTGGTGTGTGTTTCTCGGTCTCTGAGAGCTGCAGTTGCCTTCAGGATGTGGGGGGTGTGCATATGTCCCTGGCTGAGGTGGATTTCCTGTGGATTCCCTGTGTGCTTTTCGGGGTACCTGCCAGCCCAGCTCACCCAGATGGCACAGCCGTGGTCCCGTGCTGCCCCTCGAGGGCAAACAACCAACCCTGAGCCACGTCCGCATGCAGTGGGGCAGGGTCCCTTCAATTTGCTTCCTGGAGTGGGCAAAACACTCAGGGCACCTGGAGGACACCCATGCACTCTACTCCAACACAGGCTCAGACAGACGCAGCGCAAAGCCTCTAGCTGCACCCTGGGCTGGTGATTTGTTGAAAGCACCGTCCTGGAGAAGCCCCGCCCCGGAGAAGCCCCGCCCCGGAGAAGCCCCGCCCCAGAGAAGCCCCGCCCCGGAGAAGCCCCGCCCCGGAGAAGCCCCGCCCCGGAGAAGCCCCGCCCCGGAAAAGCCCCGCCCCTGAGCACACCCGGGAAGCAGCAGGAGTCGCTAACCCTTATGCACCTGCACCAAGGTCACACCCAGAAGGCAAGTCCCTGCAACCCGCTCTCCTCCGAACCCCACACAAAGGGCTTCGGTGGATTTCCTCAGTGGACGGGGATGAAGAGGCGGAAAGTGGCTCGCGATGGTCCTGTTCTTCTTTGGATTCTTTGCTGAAACACCGGCGATGCTGAGGTGTGCTGGCAGGACCCGTGGACTCGTCCACGAACTCAGGACGGTCCTGTTTAAGTCACTCTCCAATTGCCTTAGCAAAATTCCAAGAGATTTTCTTTAACAAATTTATGGACAGAAAAACACTGTATCTTCATCTAGCAAGGCTTATAGAGTGACAGAAACCCTAAGGAGAAGTCCATGAAGCCCATTTAGTTTCCAAATCACAACAAGGGAATACTAATGCCCTCCCTCCAATATCCACAGTCCCACGCTGCGCAGGGAACGCGCGGGTTTTATAAGAGCTGAGGCCAGCGTCTACCGTGGGATTGGGAGGGGATGGCTATCTGCCAGCGCCACCGCATCACCCACAGGGACAGCCGCCGACAGCATCAGCCTCTGCACCAGGGACTCCACAGCACACACTCCCGCTGAGCGGCCTGGGCTTCAGCCCAAATCCCTCCAGGCCTTCGGGTGGTCCCCACGAACCAGCTTGCCCCTTCGCCAGGAGGCTAGGCCAGTGGCAGCTCTGCACCACCCGTGTCCCCACGCCCACGTTCCTGGGCTCCAACCTGTCCTTACTTCCTGTTTTAAAAAAGAAAACTGTCCTCCTCTGAAGCCCAGGGCAGCACAGGCTCAATTTCCTTTCTCCTAAACTGCGCCGGAGTGCCTGGCCTCTCTTTGGGTGAAGGCGTCTAACCAGGGCGCATGGACCGCCTGAGGACAGGGTCTTCCCAGCAGGGAGGGCAGCGAGGAGAAGGGGATGCGTCCCGGGAGGTGGATTTTCCTGTTGAGTTTACCAGGAGGTGTCTGTCCTCCAGGGTGTCCTGGGCCCTCCTTTCTATGGTGCAGGGATACGTGGCCTAGAGGGGTGGTTCTCCACGTGCAGTCCCCGGACTGATGACCTCAGCAACCCCTGGGAATTTGCTAGAAATGCAGAATCGTGGGCCCCACCCCGACCTGCCGAATCCGAAGCTCTGGGGGCAGGGTCCTGCACTCTGTGTTTCAGCAGCTTCTGATGTGCAGGGAAGTTTCAGACCCGCTGGCCCAGAGGTTCTGCTGCTGACCAGCTAGACTCTCTCCCTTTGGGGCCTCTGCACCGAGAATTCCCGAGTCTCTGGACCTCACCCTCGTGTGGCAGACAGCCCACGCCCTGCCGCAGGGCTCCTGATTTCTGCCTCTGATGACAAACGTGGCCTGATCAGGCAGTTCGGTTCCAGGCCGCCCAGCCCCGCTTAGCCCACCGCAGAAGAATAGGCCAGGGTTGCCCCTGTCTGCGCAGCATGGTTCCAGATTACACAGTGGGGATAACACGTTTCTCCTAAAGACACTTTGCCCATCAGAAGCCTTCTTCACCACGGCCAACCCTCAACACCAACATCAAAGAGCCGTCCAAACGCTGCTTTCACTGCAGGCCTCTTTCTTGCACTAAGTTTTATTGAATAGATTTGAGGTCTCCAGCGTGATGTTAAGGAATGCAAAGAGGGAAATGGTGACTATGGTGAAGTGGGTGAACGCAGCCCTTGCCTCACATGGTTACGTCTGTGAGTGTGGAGAAACAGCTAAAATCTACCTCCTTAACCAAAACCCCGATCAATACATTTTTAGCCCCAGGCCTGGGTCCCACACCAGATCTCTTGAGTTGTCCATCCTGCCTTTTTCCCGTAATCTACGATTGAACCTGACATATTTGCAACAAAAGCTGCTGATCGGAAATGAAGACGTTAAGATAATACTTCAGTGAAATTACTTAGATTCTCACCTCATTCCACTCACCAAACCTTTCGCAGCCCCTTCTCCTTTGTGCGTCCACATCCTTTTGAATAACTTTTCACCTACAAAGCTACTTCAGAAAAGGATGCACCTGGATTTTCTCTTTTATTTTACAATCTTCACTTCTACCCAACTTCCTCCTGGGAGGGGGCTGCGTTCTGACGCTGCCTGTGCCCCCACTCCTGGAGCACCTGCCAGCTGTTCCCCTCCTTCCTCCATTTGGTTTGTCAAGGAGTCCTGAGACAGCTCTCTAAGTCGATTGGGTCTGTCCTAAATTTCAGCAGTAAAGGAGCCAGAAACACCCAGGTGCTCACAGTGTGGGGAGCCAACATCCATGTCAGTTAGATGCAGGTGCAGGGGCAGCTGCTCCTCCCCATGGGGACCTGCCCCCTCCCTGTGCTCTGAGGCCCACAGCCCTGAGCCCCAGCGTATGTCTGAAGAGCACTGCATGGCACTACGAGGCTGCTCAGAACCACAGCAGAACACAGCGCTTGCTGGAGGCTTCTGGTGTGGTGCTGCGTATCGCAGCAAGGCTGACGTCTCATGTTATGAGACTTAAAATCCGTCAGAGACAAAAAGGTTTATTTTAAAAAATCTTTATTTTGAAAATGTGTAAGAGTTTATAAAGCGTGCTTTCCAGGGAACTGTAAGAATATTTTCTGCACTAAAATACCAGGGCACCTGTGAGGCGGGAAATATTTGCTGTCTCACTACTACAGATGGTATTAATATTCTCACTCACCAGCAATAGGAATAGCAGTCACTGTACATTAGACGACTCCTGATAATTGCAGTGACTGTTTTAATAATAAAAAGCTACAAAAAAAAAAAAAAGATTTGGCACCAACAGATGCATCAGGAAGGGGTTGTATCTGGTTTAGGTGAACAGGGGTGTCAGTGTGATGAGTCTGGCCATCCACTAGCCAGTCTGTGGCATCAGCCAGAGAAGCACTGCCCTGAAGGACACCCCTTCTCCGAGGACCGGCACACTCTGCAGTCTGAGAGCTGTGAGTGTCTGCACCAAGGCCACCTGAGCACCCTTGCGACTGAGATCCCCAGCGGCTCGTTTCCTGGTCCACAGACTGGTGAAGAGCACACGTCTTCTGCAGTAGACACTGTATATTAGTTTTGGGTGGCTCATCTGCTTTAATGTCATTGGATCAAAGTCTGCAAACAGAACAGACGTTAACAGGGAGGATGATTTCTCCCGCCAGATTCTGAGCTCTGAGCCCTACCCCGCTGTGTGTTCCAGGTTATGAGCACAGCCTCAGCCCTCGCAGCTGCTCGCGGGTTTGCCGAATGAACGTGCGCTGTAGACACGGGCACTGTAGACACAAGGGCACACCCTGAAGACGAGGTGTTTCCTCATTGTGCGGGCTTGGCTGTTATCCTTACTGTAGTGTTACATCGTGGCAAACGGCCCTTTGCTTATACTCACCTCATTCACTGACTGTCATGGTTTCACCATATCCCACTGTCTGTTTTTCATCCATACTTGGCCTTGCCTGTTACCCTTTACTGTAGGGTTACATTGTGGCGAATGATCGTTTGCTCATACTCACCTCATTCACCAACCGTCACGGTTTCACCATATCCCACTGTCTGTTTTCCCCTCGTACTTTGCCATTCCTGCGCATCTCCGTCATGTTCTGCCTGGGGGGCCACAGGGTAACTCTCACAGTGTGGACCCCGAGGGAGGAGCGCTTCCTGGCTTCCCATCCCAGGCCACCAGCACAGACAGAACCAGGACCCAGAGTCCGCAGCCCTGGAGACGCCCACTGCAGCCTCTGACGGGCATTTCCCCTGAAAGCGCTTGTGGTTTCACATGGTTTTATTTTTCTGGTTGGCATCCTAAACTTAATGAGCTTTAAACATCTAGAAAATGAGGATTTGTTTTACTGCCTGTAAACGTTGAAACCGTAAGGTGAGGGGAGTGATACAGCTGCAAAACCAGAGGACAGCTGACAGCAGGTGAGCTTTCTGCACCATGGCTCCCCGGGTCCCATGTCCCTGAGCAAAACCTTTCAAAGGGAGCCTCTCCAGGGGGCCACAGAGCAGCATCAACCACAGGGCAAGAGCCATGCAGGGGCTGTGAGGTCCACACGAACCGTCCGTCAACTCCCAGTGGGGCCCACCTTGTCCAGGGACCTGCACTGGCTGGCGTAGTGTGAGGGCCGCCCCATACTGACCGACAGTGCAGTGGCCCCGATCATGCAAGGCAGGGAGGGGGGAAATACACAAACACCCAAATGCGGAGCCTTGGGTGAGGCCACCGGTGCTTCCCAACACGCATGTACTTGAATTGCCTGTGCATGGAATGTGCTTAATTTGAATATGAACAGGTGATTATAATGCAGACAGGGACCCTAGGGTAGGAGTGAAGGGGACTAGCTTTGAGGGACTGGCTGGTGGGCATGGCCAGGACCGTGGGGTGGGGGTTGTGGGAGGAGACAGGGAGCCACACAGCTGTGGGGCACTTGTCCACAGGGACAGGACCAGTCTTGTTCAGAGCTCTGTGGCTACCAGTCAATCAAGCATTTGTTTTATTTTTTCATTAAAAAATACTCGTACTTGGCCAGGTGCGGTGGCTCATGCCTATAATCCCAGCACCCTGGGAGGCCGAGACAGGTGGATCATGAGGTCAGGAGTTCAAGACCAGCCTGACCAACATGGAGAAACCCCGCCTCTACTAAAAATACAAAAATTAGCCAAGCATGGTGGCACACACCTGTAATCCCAGCTACTCAGGAGGTTGAGGCAGGAGAATCGCTTGAACCCGGGAGGTGGAGGTTGCAGTGAGCCAAGATTGAGCCACTGCACTCCAACCTGGGTGACAGAGCGAGACTCCATCTCAAACAAAAACAAAAACAAAAAACCACTCATACTTGCTTAGATAAAAAAACAAAAACAATCTC
This sequence comes from Homo sapiens, assembly GCF_000001405.40. Lineage (NCBI taxonomy): Eukaryota > Metazoa > Chordata > Mammalia > Primates > Hominidae > Homo > Homo sapiens. The sequence continues at coordinate 74,536 of NT_187565.1, read as the reverse complement.
CGACAATCTCACCACCCAGAGACAACCCCTGTTACTGCCTGTTAACACACAGGTGCTCTCTGCCTGTGCTGTGCACACTGGCACGCAGGTGTCACCGCTGTCACGCCAGCACGCGGGTGCCACCACTGTCACGGGCATGCAGTGTCACCGCTTTCACGGTGCTTTCTGCTCGGCTTTGCCACTTAAAACATACAACGCACATTTCCGTGACTTTCCACCTTCATCCACAGAATCATCCGTGACTTTCCACCCTCATCCACAGCATCATCCGTGACTTTCCACCCTCATCCACAGCATCATCCGTGACTTTCCACCCTCATCCGCAGCATCATCCGTGACTTTCCACCCTCATCCGCAGCATCATCCGTGACTTTCCACCCTCATCCGCAGCATCATCCGTGACTTTCCACCCTCATCCGCAGCATCATCCGTGACTTTCCACCTTCATCCGCAGCATCATCCGTGACTTTCCACCTTCATCCGCAGCATCATCCGTGACTTTCCACCTTCATCCGCAGCATCATCCGTGACTTTCCACCTTCATCCGCAGCATCATCCGTGACTTTCCACCTTCATCCGCAGCATCATCCGTGACTTTCCACCTTCATCCGCAGCATCATCCGTGACTTTCCACCTTCATCCGCAGCATCATCCGTGACTTTCCACCTTCATCCGCAGCATCATCCGTGACTTTCCACCTTCATCCGCAGCATCATCCGTGACTTTCCACCTTCACCCACAGCATCATCTTAATGGCCCCACAGTCTTTCATTCCAAGGTATTTTCTTTTCGTTCTTTCTTTTTTTCTGAGACAGTGTCTCGCTCTGTTGCTCAGGCTGGAGTGCAGCGGCTCAATATCAGCTCACTGTAACCTGTGCCTCCCGAGTTCAAGTGATTCTGGTGCCTCAGTCTCCCGAGTAGCTGGGACTACAAGCACGCACCACCACACCCAGATACTTTGTATTTTTTGTATTTTTAGAAGAGATGGGGTTTTGCCATGTTGCCCAGGCTGGTCTCAAACTCCTGGCCTCAGGCAATCCACCCGTCTTGGCCTCCCAAAGTGCTGGGATTACAGGTTTGAGCCACCGTGCCTGGCCTCCGTAAGTATTTTCTTTTTCTTAAATTACATCCCACTGGTGAGCAGGTTGTTTTTAACGGTTCATGCTGAGAGAATATCCTTTAAGGTAAATTTCCAGAATTACAATTTCTGGGTGAAGTTAATGAATATTTTTAAGGCTTCTGATACAACATTGCCCCCCTGAAGCCTGCACCTATTCATCCTTCTATAAACAGCACTGGCCACTGCCACTCCATCATAAATAGAAGAAGCACTAGGTTTTTAAAAAAACGTCCACTTACTTCATAGCTAGTGACGCTGGAAATTTTTCTTGGGCTAAATAACTGCTTTTTTCCCCTTCGCTGATTTTTTTCCCCTCTAGGGATATTAACCTGCATTTTTCATATTGATTTGAGATATTTTTCCCGTATTAAAAATTTTGTGTCAATGTATTGCAAATATTTTTCCTGTCGTGTTTTTGCCTTCTAATTTTGTTTACAAGGTTCTTTGACCTATAGAAATTTGAATCTTACGTTAAGTAAATTATTTTTCTTACTATTCCTAATTCATTTTCATGCTTCTAAAAGCTTGCTAATCTAAGATTTGCCTCTATTTTTATCATAGTACAAATACCCCTCACCTTATAATGGGGTTATGTCCTGACAAACCATCTTAAATGGAAAGCATTGTAAGTCAAAAATGCATTTAATACAGCTAAGCTACCAAACATTATAGCTTAGCCTGGCCAACCTTAAACGTGCTCAGAACACTTAGATGAGCCTGCAGCGGGGCAAGATCATCCGGCACAAAGCCTATTTCATCATAAAGTGAATACCTTACATAATTCATTGACCATGGTACTGAAAGCAAAAATCAGAAGGGTTGTGCGGAACTCGAAGTACAGTTTCTAATGAATGTGCATTACTTTCACAGCATCATAAAGTAAAACAATCTTATCGCACTGCTGTGAGCCAGGACCGTCTGTCCCTCTGTTCACATGTGTCTAGAGAAAGCCTCCTGTGCACACACAGCCCTGTGCTGGGAGCTGAGATGGAAGGAAGCTAATGCAGGACATCCTTACCTGCCTCTGAAAATCAACAGCACACGTGGGTGTGGGAAGCAAATGGACACCCTTAGGGATTTGCAAACTCCTCCAGATCACTGACCTCGGGGGGGTCCTTCGTCGTTTCTTGCTGTTCAAGGCAGCTCATGCCAGTTCAGGACATTGCTGAATCCTAGCAGGTTCTCCCTTCGGCTGAGTCAAAATCTGCCTTCAATCCTGTCTACACATGGGTATGGACTCAGAGCTCTGGAACAGTCAAAGAGCACCCCAATGGCAGGCTGAGCTGGAAGACCGGAGGCCCCATTCTCAGGCTCTCTCAGCCCTTCTCTCTCCTTCCTCCAGGATCTCCTGCGTCTCCAGAGAATGACTTACTATGGGATGAGCAGACCTTGGGTAGGGGCTGGGGAGTGGCATCCAAGGCTGGAAAAGTACCAACCTCAGAAAGGCAGGAGAAATGCATTTGCAGGGCACAGCGAGCTGTAAAACTCAGGGCAGAGAAGTCATGTAAAGAAGGAACGTGGACAAGGCCAGCCACGCCCCAGTCAGGGTTCGAGTCTTTACCTCAAAGCTTATTCAGAGAAATGGGCCAACTTCCAGGAATTGACATACTTACTAATTATTACAAACTTGGATGAATTAAAATGATATTATAATAAACACTCTAAGAATATTAATGTCATGGTGGCACTTAAGACGTCTGTCTGGGGTGGGAAGAGTTTTTAGGAAGTGATAAGAGCTGAGACCCAGCGGTGACCCCAGGAAGGGGAGGGAAGGGCAGGTACAGGGAGAGTCGCTGGGGAGAGGAAGAGATGGCCCCATGAGGAAGCCCCAGGGGGAGTCGCTGGGGACAGGAGGAGCACAGCCTTTCCACACACACTCAGGACCCGCACGGCCTTTCCACACACACGCTCAGGACCCGCACGTCCTTTCCACACACGATCAGGACCCACACGGCCTTTCCAAACACAGTCAGGACCCGCACGGCCTTTCCACACACAGTCAGGACCCGCACAGCCTATCCACACACACTCAGGACCCGCACGGCCTTTCCACACACAGTCAGGACCCGCACGGCCGTTCCACACACACTCAGGACCCGCACGGCCTTTCCACACACAGTCAGGACCCGCACGGCCGTTCCACACACACTCAGGACCCGCACGGCCTTTCCACACACAGTCAGGATCCGCACGGCCTTTCCACACACAGTCAGGACCCGCACGGCGTTTCCACACACACTCAGGACCCGCACGGCCTTTCCACACACAGTCAGGACGCGCACGGCCTTTCCACAGTCAGGACCCGCACGGCCTTTCCAAACACAGTCAGGACCTGCACGGCCTTTCCACGCACACTCAGGACCCGCATGGCCTTTCCACGCCACACGCAGGACGCGCACGTCCTTTCCACACACAGTCAGGACCCGCACGGCCTTTCCACACATAGTCAGGACCCGCACGGCCTTTCCACACACACTCAGGACCCGCATGGCCTTTCCACGCACAGTCAGGACCCACACGGCCGTTCCACACACAGTCAGGACCCGCACGGCCTTTCCACGCACACTCAGGACCCGCACGGCCTTTCCACGCCACACGCAGGACGCGCACGTCCTTTCCACACACAGTCAGGACCCGCACGTCCTTTCCACACACAGTCAGGACCCACACGGCCTTTCCACACACAGTCAGGACCCGCACAGCCTATCCACACACACTCAGGACCCGCACGGCCTTTCCACACACAGTCAGGACCCACACGGCCTTTCCACACACAGTCAGGACCCGCACAGCCTATCCACACACACTCAGGACCCGCACGGCCTTTCCACACACAGTCAGGACCCGCACGGCCGTTCCACACTCAGGACCCGCACGGCCTTTCCACACACACTCAGGACCCGCACGGCCTTTCCACACACAGTCAGGACCCGCACGGCCGTTCCACACACAGTCAGGACCCGCACGGCCTTTCCACACACAGTCAGGACCCGCACGGTGTTTCCACACACACTCAGGATCTGCACGGCCTTTCCACACACAGTCAGGACCCGCACGGTGTTTCCACACACACTCAGGATCTGCACGGCCTTTCCACACACAGTCAGGACCCGCACGGTGTTTCCACACACACTCAGGATCTGCACGGCCTTTCCACACACAGTCAGGACCCGCACGGCCGTTCCACACACAGTCAGGACCCGCACGGCCTTTCCACGCACACTCAGGACCCGCACGGCCTTTCCACACACACTCAGGACCCGCACGGCCTTTCCACACACAGTCAGGACCCGCACGGCCTTTCCACGCACAGTCAGGACCCGCGCGGCCTTTCCACACACTGTCAGGACCCGCACGGCCTTTCCACGCACACTCAGGACCCGCATGGCCTTTCCACGCACACTCAGGACCCGCACGGCCTTTCCACGCACGCTCAGGACCCGCGCGGCCTTTCCACACACACTCAGGACCCGCACGGCCTTTCCACGCACACTCAGGACCCGCACGGCCTTTCCACGCACACTCAGGACCCGCACGGCCTTTCCACGCACAGTCAGGACCCGCACGGCCTTTCCACGCACAGTCAGGACCCGCGCGGCCTTTCCACGCACAGTCAGGACCCGCGCGGCCTTTCCACGCACACTCAGGACCCGCACGGCCTTTCCACGCACTGTCAGGACCCGCACGGCCTTTCCACGCACAGTCAGGACCCGCGCGGCCTTTCCACGCACAGTCAGGACCCGCACGGCCTTTCCACGCACACTCAGGACCCGCGCGGCCTTTCCACGCACAGTCAGGACCCGCGCGGCCTTTCCACGCACAGTCAGGACCCACGCGGCCTTTCCACACACTGTCAGGACCCGCACGGCCTTTCCACGCACGCTCAGGACCCGCACGGCCTTTCCACGCACGCTCAGGACCCGCACGGCCGTTCCACACATGCTCAGGACCCGCACGGCCTTTCCACGCACACTCAGGACCCGCACGGCCTTTCCACGCACACTCAGGACCCGCGCGGCCTTTCCACGCCACAAGAGCATGAAGTAGTCGGGGATGTTTTTATTTCTTCCTGCAGTTTAATAACCAGCTGATTTTACAAATATGAATAAATTATTGGCACCTTATAAATGGTTTAATATCGAAACGGTTTCTATATTAAAGTCATCAATTTGCTCCCCTTTATATTAGTTGTAAGGTTATATGTGTTGTTTTGGTTGCTGAAAAAAAATAGAGCCTCTGTAAAGTACAGCATATTTGTAAGAATCTGCCTAGAGATATAGGCAAATGTGTTTGTTTTCAATATTAAACAAAGATAAACAGTCTATACAATGTAACTGAGGTACAGAATTTATTATATAGCAACAAAAGTTGTTAGAGCAATTCAAGGTGTCTGATGAGTTTGCACTTCTCTGTAAAGTCACCAGTGGTCTAATGGGGAAAGACACCATCCTTCCTCTTCCTACCTGTGTGTGGATGTGGGCGGGAGGCTCATGACATGCGTGGATGTGGGCAGGAGGCTCATGATAGTCTCCCTCAAACACCCCTTCCTACCTGTGTGTGGATGTGGGCGGGAGGCTCATGACATGCGTGGATGTGGGCAGGAGGCTCATGATAGTCTCCCTCAAACACCCCTTCCTATCTGTGTGTGGATGTGGGCGGGAGGCTCACGACAGTCCCCCTCAAACACCCCTTTCTACCTGTGTGTGGATGTGGGCGGGAGGCTCATGACATGAGTGGATGTGGGCAGGAGGCTGACGATAGTTCCCCTCAAACCCCCTTCCTACCTGTGTGTGGATGTGGGCGGCAGGCTCATGACATGCGTGGATGTGGGCACGAGGCTCACGATAGTCTCCCTCAAACACCCCTTCCTACCTGTGTGTGGATGTGGGCGGGAGGCTCATGACATGTGTGGATGTCGGCGGGAGGCTCGTGATAGTGCCCCCTCAAACACCTAGTTTAAGTATCTCAACTACATTAATACCACATTTTAATATTTAATGTGAGCGTACGACACAGCTGTGTTTTGTAAAGCTGTGTCTGTTTAGGTGAACGGGAAGGGAAAGAGACCTGATGGGCTTGCTGGCCCCTTAAAAACGGCAGCACTCTCTGAGCAGCACACTGCTGAGGTGACTTGGCAGGAGCAAGTGGCCGCATCTCCACCCTGCAGCTAATTTATCTCACCATGAGTTCCAGAAAGATAAATGAATGCTAAGAATATTTAAAAATATCTCTAAGGAAGGCGACAGACCATGGTGACCATTCTTCAATATAATCCAGGTCACATCCAAAATCCAAACCTGAGATGATGCCACAAGATTCCAAAGGCACAAGCAGGACATGGATGGGGAAGCAGCCAACGTGAGGTGGGGACTGATACTGGCTGGTGCTGAATCCATCAACACGCTCCACCGCATACACAATGGGTTGGCTCCTTTGCAAAGCCATCATGAGTGTAAGACAGCAGAGCATGGGCACTCAACCTCCGCACAGCGGCCATGAGAGCAATGCAGCTCTGCTGGGCACTCAACCTCCACACAGCCACCATGAGAGCAATGCAGCTCTGTGTGGGAACTCAACCTCCACACAGCTACCATGAGTGCAATGCAGATGTTAATGGGAACTCAACCTCCACATAGCTACCACGAGTGCAATGCAGCTCTATGTGGGAACTCAATCTCCAAACAGCTATCATGAGTGCAATGTAGCTCTGTATGGGAACTCAACCTCCACACAGTTACCATGAGAGCAATGTAACTCTGTATAGGAACTCAGCCTCCAGACAGTTACCATGAGAGCAGCGCAGCTCTGTGTGGGAACTCAACCTCCACACAGCTACCATGAGTGCAATGTAGCTCTGTGTAGGAACTCAATCTCCACACAGCTACCATGAGTGCAATGCAGCTCTATGTGGAAACTCAACCTCCACACAGCCACCATGAGTGCAATGTAGCTCTGTGTAGGAACTCAATCTCCAAACAGCTACCATGAGTGCAATGCAGCTCTATGTGGAAACTCAACCTCTACACAGCTACCATGAGTGCACTGTAGCTCTGTATGGGAACTCAACCTCCACACAGCTAACACGAGAGCAATGTAGCTCTGTATAGGAACTCAGCCTCCAGACAGTTACCATGAGAGCAGCGCAGCTCTGTGTGGGAACTCAACCTCCACACAGCTACCATGAGTGCAATGCAGCTCTGTATGGGAACTCAACCTCCACACAGCTACCATGAGTGCAATGTAGCTCTGTATGGGAACTCAATCTCCACACAGCTACCATGAGTGCAATGTAGCTCTGTATGGGAACTCAACCTCCACACAGCTACCATGAGTGCAATGTAGCTCTGTATGGGAACTCAATCTCCACACAGCTAACATGAGTGCAATGTAGCTCTGTATAGGAACTCAACCTCCACACAGTTACCATGAGTGCAATGTAGCTGTGTATGGGAACTCAACCTTCACACAGCTACCATGAGTGCAACGCAGCTCTGTATAGGAACTCAGCCTCCAGACAGTTACCATGAGAGCAGCGCAGCTCTGTGTGGGAACTCAACCTCCACACAGCTACCATGAGTGCAAAGCAGCTCTGTATGGGAACTCAACCTCCACACAGTTACCAAGACAGCAATGTAGCTCTGTGTAGGAACAAAACCTCCGCACAGCTACCATGAGTGCAATGTAGCTCTATGTGGGAAATGAACCTACACACAGCCCCCATGAGAGCAATGCAGCTCTGTATGGGAACTCAACTTCCACATAGTTGCCATGAGTGCAATGCAGATGGGTATGGGAACTGAACCTCCACACAGCTACCATGAGAGCAATGCAGATGTGTATGGGAACTCAACCTCCACCCAGCTACCATGAGAGCAATGCAGCTCTGTGGGGGAACTCAACCTCCACACAGCTACCGTGAGTGCAGTGTAGCTCTATGTGGGAACTCAACCTACACACAGCCACCATTAGAGCAATGCAGCTCTGTGTAGGAACTCTACCTCCACACAGCCGCCATGAGAGCAATGCAGCTCTGTACAGGAACGCAACCTCCACACAGCCGCCATGAGAGCAATGCAGCTCTGTGTGGGAACTCAAACTCCACATAGCTACAATGAGTGCAATTCAGCTCTGTGTGGAACTCATCCTCCGCACAGTTACCATGAGAGCAGTGCAGCTCTGTATGGTAACTCAACCTCCACACAGCTACCATGAGTGCAATGCAGCTCTGTATGGGAACTCAACTTCCACAGAGCTACCATGAGAGCAATGCAGACGTGTATGGGAACTCAACCTCCACACAGCTACCGTGAGTGCAACGCAGCTCTGTATGGGAACTCAACCTCCACACAGCTACCATGAGTGCAATGCAGCTCTGTATGGGAACGCAACCTCCACACATCTACCATGAGTTCAAAGCAGTTCTGTATAGGAACTCAACCTCCACACAGCTACCGTGAGTGCAATTCAGCTCTGTATGAGAACTCAACCTCCACACAGCTACCATGAGTTTAAAGCAGCTCTGTATGGGAACTCAACCTCCACACAGCTACCGTGAGTGCAATGCAGCTCTGTTTCAGAACTCAACCTCCACACAGCTACCATGAGAGCAATGCAGATGTGTATGGGAACTCAACACCCACACAGCTACCATGAGTGCAATGCAGCTCTGTATGGGAACTCAACCTCCACACAGCTATCATGAGAGCAATGCAGATGTGTATGGGAACACAACCTCCACATAGCTGCCATGAGAGCAATGCAGATGTGTACAGGGAACTCAACCTCCACACAGCTACCGTGAGTGCAATGCAGCTCTGTATGGGAACTCAAACTCCACACAGCCGCCATGAGAGCAATGCAGATGTGTATGGGAACGCAACCTCCACACAGCTACCATGAGAGCAATGCAGATGTGTATGGGAACTCAACATCCACACAGCTACCATGAGAGCAATGCAGATGTGTACGGGGAACTCAACCTCCACACAGCTACCGTGAGTGCAATGCAGCTCTGTATGGGAACTCAAACTCCACACAGTTACCATCAGAGCAGTGCAGACGTGTATGGGCTTTTGACTTCCACACAGACACCATAAGGGAAATGCAGCTCTGCCGGGCACTCAACCTCCACTCAGCCACCATGAGCACAGTGCCCATGGCGTGGGCATTGAGCCTGTCCCATCTGCACTGGACACAGGAGCTGGTGCCAGAGTCTGGACCCTGTTTCTATGGGCAGCTCAAGGGCTCGGAAGTTAAGCGCTGCCTTGTGTCTTTCCTGCCTGGAGTCACTTCACGTCCCCGAGTTTGCTTCCTTCCTATAGGGCAACCACTAGCGATAATGACAAGCAGTGCACTCTAAGCACGCTCAGTTAATTTTACAACAATGCTGAGGTAGGTGTTACAAGCATCATTACACTGATCAAAGAAAAAAAGCCTAGAAAGTTTCAATAACTTGTGTTTGAAACAACATCTGTCTGATTCCAAAGCATGAGCCCTTCACCACCCTCTGTGCATTTTCCTGAAGTGGGGTCATTCCCTGTCCTGCCCATCCCTCAGGGCTGCTGTGCACTGATCAGACGTGTTAACACACATGAAGGACTATGACAACCAAGGAATTACATCCACACAATGTGTTTTCTTAAGACAATAAAGATGGCTTATCAGATTAAAATGTGTACAACAGAAAAACTTATGCCAAGTAATATCAAAAACTATTTTCAACAAAGGGAGAGAGAGTGAAATCATTTGTTTATTTTGTCATAGACGTAGTTTATTTAGATTTGGCAACTCGGGCAAAATGGGGGAAACTACATGCAGTGTACTTATTCTCAACAGCAGAGGAAAGAAATCTAACAAGTGTGTTTGGCGAAGAGAAACAGAACAACCGCACACTCTGCTCTGAAGGAACTGAACCTCCATCTTAAGCAGAGAAACAGACCGCACACTCTGCCCTGAAGGAACTGAGCCTGCACCTTCAGCAGAGGATACAGTAGTGCTCCTCAGAACTCTACTTCACAGAAAATGTACTGGGCCCTAATGAATTTCCTTGGTCTCAACACTGTACCAAAACCGAATTATGTCATTTATATAAGCAGCTAAGCTAATTGTTCCCGAGTCATGAACTTTGCAAAGGGCCAGATAACTGAGCTTTCAAATGATTCCTCTGAAAGATGAATGGTCCCAATATCAAATTTGGAAGGACTTTTATTGAAAGTGATTAACTGGCGGTCTAGCCCTCTGGTAGTGCCTGGTGATGTTGAGTCCTCTTCACCAAGACCCTGTCCTTTGACCGGAAGTGGAATATTTCGGTCCAGGAGGGAGGCCAGCCTTCATAGTCCAGTCTCTCATTCATTAGTTCAACAAACATGTGTTCTGTACCTGCTGTGAGTCAGACACACGCCCAGTCCTGCACAGATGCCTCAGTTACCAGTGATCCCCAAGGAGGAGTGCAGAAAATGGAGCCGAGCACAGCGTTAAGATGTAGCGGATAGACCAGTGTGGGGTTACGGAGGAGCGCGGGAGACTGAGTGGAGAATGAGTGGAGCCCAGCGTTAGGATGTAGCAGATAGACCAGTGCCGGGTTTTCCTGAACACAGAGGTACATGCACTCTTAGTCTATCATAGGAATTACTCCATAGAATCTCTGTGACATCCTTATGGAGAAAATGTGAATATTCCGATTTTACAGATAGGGAAACTGAGGCACAAAGTGCTTCAGTAACTAATGTCAAACAGGTGAGTCTGAGTCCCGACTTTTACCCACATGGCCACCTAATCTGGAGAGCAGCTGCTCAGAGAAAGTGACACTAGACCTCTCTGGAGGATTCACAGCTGTGTCCCGGCCATGTGCGAGGTGTGAGGGCAATGCAGGTGGCACCCTGAAGGCTGTTGTCTGCACAGACCCGCCAGCCACCCACAATGCCTGGGCACGTAGCTCGAGGGGAGACTGGGCGAAGTGTGCAGCTACAGATTCTACACGGCACAGGCCCCACGACAGGGCCCCGAGTACACGGACCCACGACAGCGCCCCGAGTACAAAGACCCACGACAGGGCCCCGAGTACACGGACCCACGACAGGGCCCCGAATACATGGACCCACGACAGGGCCCCGAGTACGACATTTGCAGGCATTACTCCATTACTGTAAAGACAGGACCTGTTTATTCTGTGAATGAACCGGAAACATCTGTGAATAGGACGTTGGTAAATGCAGGTCTCCTCTGTCCGCCATGTTTCTCTGTACACCTGCCCTCGGCCAGGAGGGAAAGCCCTGATATACCTCACCTGGCAGGGAGCTCGCACCCGTGAGAAGCGTGAGAGGGCTGAGCTCCCCCTACTCCCTGGAATTGGAGCATCATCTGCTCTGTCACGGGTGGACGTGCAGGGAGGATCTCGTGCCACAGCAGGCGTGAAGCCCACAGCACTGCCCCCGCCTCTTGGAGAGGCCTCCGTTCCACTGTCGTGCACATCGGAGCCTCTAACACCCCCCACGACCCCCCAGATGCAAACTGCTCCAAAAGCTGACTGCGGAACCATTTCCCTGTTTTTATCAAGGAAAAACAGGACGTGCATTTACTTGGCATGCAGTAAAGGGTTAATATTTCCAAGAAAGTTCTGGTTTTGACCAGCGCCTCTGGGGTAACCTGTTGGCCTTTGGGGCTTCCAGCCTGAGAGAGTCTTTGCTTACCTGGGCCCTGGGCCATGTGGTGCCAGTTTTCCCTCTGAGGGAGCTGGAGACCAGGCATCTAGGCTCAGTCACTTGGGCACCCCAAGCCTACATGATGGACCCCAAGAAAACCCCAGGACACAGGCTCGTGGGCAACTCCGGTTGGCCGTGTCTGTGAGTCTTGTCCTATGTATGTCACCGGTGGGACATTAAGCACTGCCTGTGTGACTCCACGGGAGAGACACCTGGAGGCTCAGGCCTGGTCTGTCCTGAGCCCTGCCCTGCGCACCTCTCACCGTGGCGGACTTAATCGGTGCCCTTTTGCTGTGCTAGACCATAACCATGCACACTGCTTTTCTGTGTCCTTCTGGCATATCCTGAGCCTCCAGGTGGTCTTGGGGACTTCTGCACGCTTGGTGAATAATTAAGCACCATCTACTAAGGACTGGCCAGTGTTTGTGTCTCCGGTTTGTGAAAATATGAACAAAAAGTACAGAAATTAATGTGGCAAGAACAGATTTCTCAATAATCTCTGTGCTCCCAGCACCCCGCACCCATGCACGACCATGTGCCAGAGGCTACAATTACGGAAAAAGAGAAACAGCTGGTGCCTGGCACCTGGTCTCACGGCAAAGACGGCAGAAAGCAGTTTAGAAGGAAAGCAAAAGGTAAGGGAAAGAATTGTGACTTGGAACTTAGAAATACAGCGCTAAATCACAGGAGAAATGACAAATAGGCACCACATGAGTCTTTCCGGCACTTCAACACACACACCGCATTTCACAAGCTTGTTAATTTTCGTTTTGAAGTTCTGCTTAGTCATTTTCAATTAATGTTAAGAGAGGAATATAAAGTTAGGGATGAGAAATAACAGAAAATTCAGCATTCGCATGTGATAACGCACTTGCTGAAATGCCAGCACGGTGCACAGCCAGCCTTTGGCACTTGTACCTGTCAGGAATCGAAACTTACCCTACCACAAATGTACAGCAGATGCGACTGAGCCGCACGGCCCACAAACCCAAACTATTAACTACTTGGCCCTTCACAGAAAAAGTTAGCTGAACTGTGCTCGGTACCATTCAATAACAACAGAGTGGGTCAACACTATGTACACTACAATGTATTACATGTAACTTAAAATCGGAAGACCTGCCATACATCACAAATTAAACGCATCATCTGTGGGACCCAGCAATGCACTAAATTGCTGGAAATAATATGTGAGGTTGGGAGGTTTGCAATCCAGTCTCTGCCTGAAACAAGTCACTTAAAACCTCACAACCTGGCCAGGTGCGGTGGCTCACACCTGTAATCCCAGCACTTTGGGAGGCTGAGGTGGGCCGATTGCTTGAGACCAGGTATTGAGACCAGCCTGGGGAAGCAACATGGTAAAACCCCATCTGTACAGAAAAATCAGCTGGGGGTAGGGGCACCTGCCTGTTGCCCCAGCTACCTGGGAAGCTGAGGTGAGAGAATCACCTCAGCCCAGAAGGTCGAGGCTGCAGTGACCTGAGATCACACCATTGCACTCCAGCCCGGGTGACAGAGAGAGATGCCGTCTCAAAAAATAAAACAAAGCAAAACAAATCAAAACAAACACAACAAAACAAAACCTCAGACCTCAATTGCTTCACCCGCAGGCTAGAATCCCACAGTGCATGAACTGATTTCAGCTCCCATAAGCTACAGGTCCATGTTCTGTAGGCAATGTGCCAGGGCCTGCAGATGGAGGGACCCTGCGGACAGCATTCCTACTGCAGCTGGGAAATGACACCTGCTAGCACACCCTGCTAACGTGCCCAAAAGGGCGGGCAGTGATGGGAGACACCAGAGGGTCAGGGGCTCATCTCTGTTTCCCTAGGAGCCCCTCTGGTCAAGACAGCCCACAAGTTCATATTTACCTGCAAAGATTATGGGGAAAACGACACAGAACTAACTTTTGTACGGGGTCAGCCACAGTCATCTCCTTCCCATCTCTGATTTTTTTGAGACATGGCTTCAACTAACTCATCCAGCCCATACTGTAGGCAGAACTGCTGATGTGGGTATTCCATTAAATACGCCTATATGTGTTTCAGAGAGGAGTGATTTATGAAGCTAACGTTCAATAACAATTTGGCTATGAATAATTTCTGGGTAAGATCTAATAAAATTAAATGTACTGCAAAAAGAAAGTATGCCAAAAGGACTGCACGTCTCTGTTGAAAAATGCTGGGGGATATGAAACACGCTTATTTTTCAAACAAAAGGAGAATATTTGAAAACTTATTTGATATGTATCTCATTTTTTAACTTTGATTTTACATTCAGGGGTCCATGCGCAGGTGTCTTTCATAGGTAAACTTGTGTCATGGGGATTTGTTGTACAGATTATTTCATCACCCAAGTATTAAGCCTACTATCAATTAGTTACTTTCCTGATCCTCTCCCTCCTCCCACCCTCCTCCTCCCACAGGTCCCAGTGTGTGTTGTTCCCCTCTATGTGTCCGTGAGTTCTCATCATTTAGCTCCTACTTACAGGTGAGAACATGCAGTATTTGGTTATCTGTTCCTGCACTAGTTTGCTAGGGATAATGGCCTCCAGCTCCATCCATATCCCTGCAAAAGACATGATTTCATTCTTTTTTATGTCTGCATAGTATTCCATGGTGTACATATACCACATTTTCTTTATCCAATCTACCATTGATGGCATTTAGGTTGATTCCACGTCTCTGCTATTGTGAACTGTGCTGCAGTGAACACACATGTGCATGTGTGTCTGTGCATGTCACAGAAGGGTTTCTATTCCTTTGGGTCTATACCCACTAATGGCATTGCTGAGTCCAATGGTGTTTGTCTTTAGGTCTCCAAGGAACCACCACACTGTCTTCCACAGTGGCTGAATTACTTTACACTCCCAGCTAACAGTGTGTAAGCATTTCTTTCTCTCCACAACCTCACCAGCATCTGTTATGTTTTCACTTTTTAATAACCGCCATTCTGACTGCTGTGAGACGGCATCTCATGGTGGTTTTGATTTGCATTTCTTTAATGGTCAGTGATGTTGAGCTTTTCTTCAAACGACTGCTGGCTGCACATATGTCTTCTTTTGAAAAGTGTCTGTTCCTGTTGTTTGTCCGCTTTTTAATGGTTTTTTTCTTACAAATGTGTTTAAATTCCTCATAGATGCCAGATATTAGACCTTTGTGGGATGCATAATTTGCAAAAATTTTCTCCCATTCTGTAGGTTGCCTGTTTGCTCTGATGCTAGTTTCTTTTGTTGTGCAGAAGCTCCTTAGTTTAATTAAATCCCATTTGTCAATTTTTGCTTTTGTTGCCATTGCTTTTGGTGTCTCTGTCATGAAATCTTTGCCAGTTCCCATGTCCAGAATGGTACTGCCTAGGTTTTCTTCTGGGATTTTTATAGTTTTGGGTTTTAAAGTCTTCAATGCATCTTGAATTAATTTTGGCATATGGTGGAAGAAAGGGGTCCAGTTTCTGCACACGTCCTGCCAGTTCTCCCAGTACCATGGATTGAATAAGGAACCCTTTCTAAACATAAGGTATTTGAATGATTTTCTCATGTACATTTAAGCAAGATCACGATACTAGCTGTTTGCACAGCTTCCTGTCAATATACACATATTTTGTCTTTGAATCACAGGATCCCAGAGATAAAAAAATAAGTTCCACCTTTTATCTATTATCAGAGCTTCTCCTAGAGAATTCCTTCCAGCAGTGCTGAGCCATCGCCTTCCATGCTATTTGGAGTATCTGGATCTAGGAACACACAGCGCAGGGCAGGTGGCTCCTCTGCCCTGATGCGCCCGGGTGAGACTTCGCCTCTGAGACTCCGGATCCCCCTATTAAACGAAGGTCACAATGGCCAAAAGAATGCACAGGATTACATGAGATAACCCATGTGAAGCTCCTGTTACAGATTCTACATCAGAAAACATGGAAAAAAATAATACACTGAGAAATACTGAAGACTACTTACGTGACACGGAAGCTTGTTCCCACTGGGGGTGTCAGGGGACAGTGCTGCGGTTCCAGAATGGAGCTCACCAAGGGAGGGTCCCTGTGTGCTCCAGGCTCCCGAGGCTGTCCCAGGAATCACCTTCTTGCTGATGCCTCACTGAGGTCACTGCATTCCCTCCAGGGTCCTGACGCCTTACTGAAGTCACTGCATTCCCTCCCGGGTCCTCATGCCTCACTGAGGTCACTGCATTCCCTCCCGGGTCCTGATGCCTCACTGAGGTCACTGCATTCCCTCCCGGGTCCTGACGCCTCGCTGAGGTCACTGCATTCCCTCCCGGGTCCTGACGCCTCACTGAGGTCACTGCCTTCCCTCACACGTCCTGACGCCTCGCTGAGGTCACTGCCTTCCCTCCCGGGTCCTGATGCCTCACTGAGGTCACTGCATTCCCTCCCGGGTCCTGACGCCACGCTGAGGTCACTGCCTTCCCTGCCAGGTCCTGATGCCTCACTGAGGTCACTGCATTCCCTGCCAGGTCCTGACACTTCCCTTAGGTCACTGCATTCCCTGCCAGGTCCTGACGCCTCACTGAGGTCACTGCATTCCCTGCCAGGTCCTGACGCCTCACTGAGGTCATTGCATTCCCTGCCAGGTCCTGACGCCTCACTGAGGTCACTGCATTCCCTGCCAGGTCCTGACGCCTCACTGAAGTCACTGCATTCCCTGCCAGGTCCTGACACTTCCCTTAGGTCACTGCATTCTCTCCCAGGTCCTGACACCATGGTACTTCCCGTTCAGTCTCCACAGGGTGCGTACCTCATCCTGCAACGTGTCCTGGGCTCACTCTCTCCCCATTATGGGACCGTATGCTCCTGATACTGTACAGATCGTGTCTTTAGTTTTTGGTTTGTTTTAGATTTTTAAAATAAAGACATAATTAAGATATAAAATTTACTCTTTCAAGGTTTACAACTTGGTGGTTTTATATATTCACAAAGGTGTGCAAGAATCACCGCTATGTAATTTCAAAGGATTTGCATCACCCCAAAACATATTCTGTATCAATCAGCAGTTACTCCTTCCTTCCTGCCCCCAGACCCAGGCAATTTAGTTTCTGTCTCTACAGATTTGCCTGTCCTGGACATTTCATATAAATAGAATCATGCAGTAGGTGGACTTGAGTCTGGCTTCTCTCATTTCACATAATATTTGCATCTGTATGTGGTGTGGGCTCCATCATACGTGTGGCCTGCACTTTATCCCTTGGCCAGCAGATGGGCTAATGGGGAACATCTGCTGTTTCCATTTTCTGGCTAAGCAATGCTGCTGTGGACACTTGTGTGTGAGTTTCTGTGTAGACATACGTCTTCATTTCTCTGGGATGAATGCTTAGGAATACACACACTGGGTCATAAGGTAACTGTCTGTTTAACTTTGTGTGGAATTTCCTAACTAAACCACATGGCTGCACCATTTTACGTGCCCATGGGCTGTCTCTGAAGGGCCTGGTTTCTCCAGTCCTCAGCAATACTTGTCATTGTCCATTCTTCAGTGACAGCCGTCCTAGTGGGAATGCAATTGCATCTCATCTTGGTTTTGATTTGAATTTTTGTAACGACTCATGATGTTGAGCTTCCCTGTACTTAGTGGAACATTTGCAGGCCTTCTTTGGAGAACTGTTTATTCAAGTATTTTGCCCATTTTTAATTTGACTGGTCTTTTTCACTGAATTGGAAGAATTCTTTATATAACCCAGACACTAGAGTCTTCTCAGATAACTGATTTGCAGATATTTTCTACCATTTTATCGGTTGTATTTTCACTTTCTAGATTGTGTCTTTTGAAGCACGAAAGATGTCAATAAAGTTTGTCTGTTTTTATCCTTGTGTTGCTTATGCTTTTGGTGTCACATCTAAGAAACCACTGCCTAACCATTTTTTGGGGGGATGAATTAATGCATGAATCAATGAGGAACCCAAGCATGCCATCTTCCTCCTCCTCTTCATCACCACCACCATTATGATCATCATCATCATCATCACTATCATCAGCATCACCATCATCATCCTCATCACCACTATCATCCCCATCCCCATCATCCTCACCATTCTCACCATCATCACCATCATCATCATCACCATCACCATCATCCTCACCATCACCATCATCACCATCATCCTCACCATCACCATCATCATCACTGTCATCCTCACCCCCATCATCCTCACTATTACCATCATCACCATCATTCTCACCATCACATCATCCTCATCATCACCATCGCCACCACCACCATCATCCTCATCATCACCACCATCATCACCATCATTCTCACCACCACCATCATCCTCATCATCATCACCATCATCACCATCATTCTCACCACCACCATCATCATCATCACCACCATCATCACCATCATTCTCACCACCATTATCATCCTCATCATCATCATTATCTATTTCTTCTTCACCTCCTCCTCCTCTCTATCTTCTCATCATGTCACACACTGTCATTACTGGTTACTATGTACTGATCACCAATGACTATTCTAGAGACTCATTGCCTCTGCTCCTCACTCCCATATGGTCAATAATATCTTCATTTTAGGGTGGGATAACTTGTACTTAGAAAATATGAATTGCTCAATGTCATTTTGCTAGTGAAAAGCATGTTTTTCTGATTCCAGAATCAATACCTTTTAACTACTCCTTAAATTCCTTTGCAGTAAACATTAGGAAAAATGTGTGTATGTATTAAATGAACAACAGCTCTTAAGTAGTTTATTAAAAGAGGGTGAGAGGAGCCCACTGCTTTCACTAGTAAGCTGAGAGGTCACTGAATGCATCTGTCTTATTTAGGGGTGAGAAAAGAGTGGCTCAACAGAAGCAAGACACGTTCCTTGAGGGGCCCCAGCCTGTTCCAGATGCATCGGAGGTGCAGAAGCCACAGAGGCTGCTGGTGTCCAGGCCCCTGTGACTAGTCTGAACCAGTTGTGCCAAGCCCAGACCCCAGCCAAAGTCCTTCCTGTGCTGGGAAAGGCTTCCGGCACAGAGTTGCGTGTGTTTCAGTGGCACACTGGAACGTCCTCATAACGGACGTCTGTAAAGACGAGGGAAAGAGCCCAGACTTCTACCGGCCGGTTCTTGACAGCCTGTGGATGCACGGTGCCTTTCCTCCTCCTCCTCGCCACTTTTCCTCCAGCTCTTTCCTTCCTTTCTCTCACCACCCCTCTCCCTTCTTCACTTCCACCCTTTCTTCCCAGAACGAAGGTGCTTCAGATCTCAGAGTTGCTTGACTGTTTCCATGCTAGCATTGAATCAGCATCTTCAAAATAAATCCAGTTAACAAAAATAGTTACATTCAAAACCATTCATTGAATACATTATTTAATGCTCAGAACGAATCCACAGAAAGGAGGGACCCATGGGGTCACCAATGTGGGGAGGAACAGGGTGGTCTTGGATGCAGCAGCCAAGACTGCACATGTGGAGGACCAGGCTTGACATGAGACGGGCTGAACGCCCAGCACCGCTCAGAGTTTCTTTATATTGTGATGTTTTCCCCCCTGGAGCTCTTTACCGGAAAAAGCACAAAGCCCCAGTTCTATGGGCCCTGATGCCTCCCGCGTCACCACGCGCAGCCCCGGCTCTAGGGTCCTGATGCCTCCCGCGTCACCACGCGCAGCCCCGGCTCTGCCACACTTTGCTTCCCTTAGTTTCCTTTTAGCCACATTTTCTTATTTATCTGAAACTTGTTTTATTGCACCACAATAAACCCACTCTGGAACAAGGAAGGACATAAATAAACATAGCAACAAAACACATAAATCATACTCAGGGTTCCCTGGGCGTCCTGCGTCCTGCACAGACAATATGTGTTCTTCCTGGATTGCTCTCGACTTTTCCTCCATCCATCAAACTCCTACTCATACGTCATGACCAGTCCAAAGCTTCCCTGCTTCCAGAAACTTCCACCCAGCACCGCACCCTGCCCTACCAACAATCGCCCTCCTCCTCTGAGCTCATTTAGCAGTTGGCACGTCTTTCTGGGCCATCATGTCCGATATTGCAACGTGATTATTACCCATTCCTCCAGAGGAAGCACACTGTCCCGTTTGGTTTTGGGTCTCTGGACACAGCATAGTGTCAGCCCACAGAACACACTCATGTGTTGCTGAGTGTGAACAGGACTGTCTTAGAGTGAAAATGTAATGCCAAACTCGATTTTCTAAATTCGTTGTCCACAGTGACCAGCTGAAGGTTGTTTCTCCAGCAGCATCCTCATTAGGCCGCCCTAAAGAGTCCAGCCTTCTGGTCACAGCTGGTTTGGAGCTCGAAGCCTCCTGATGGCTTCGGTGTAGACTGAGAGAGAAAGGCCACACTACCTCTGCTTTGTCGCTCCCAAGAAATCCAGAAATTATCTGGGCAGTGACTCAACCACCGTGTCTTGGATGAGGAGTTCCCTTCTGCAGAAACGTCAGACCATGGTTCCTAGAACTATGGTTTGCCCTGAATTTCTAGACAATGCAGCAACAGCTACGATTTACTTAGATGCTTATAAGATTTCTGTGTTTTTAAGGCCTGCTGGAAGTGCCTGCGAGGGCTGGGTCCCGGGATACTGCCTGATGGGAGATGGCAAACTTGTGCCCCGCAGGGAGGGCCAAGGCGGGGAGGAGAAGAAAGAACATTCAGAGGAAAGAGGCGAGAGAGGCAAGACAGCCGTGTTAGTGAGGCAATTTCGTGTCTCTTCCTTTACAGCGTGTCAACACATGTATCATGTATTTACCATGTTACATTATGGCTTCTCGGTGGTATGAGAAATAGCTTCCATGTGGTGCTACAGAAGGCACACGGCCTGGCTGCTGTGGAGGTGTTTACCCTGGAGTGCCGAGAATGCCGACGTGGATGCCACACTGGTCATCCCACCGGAGTCCATGCATGGCCCACGGTGGGTGCATGTCTCCACTGGGGGGGTCGAGGGCAGGTGGGGAAGGGCCCACCTCTCACACTCACATCTGCGTGACTTCCTCACTGGAAGCAGCTTTAGGAATCATACCAGTGGCTTTTACAGAAGATTTAGTGGAACGAAAAGTAGGCCTGAGAAATCCACAGCACGTTCCCACAGCACATATTTACAGAAAATTCACCGACTCCTTGACATATCCACCATTTGATGTGGTTGGTTTTGTTGATGTCATTTTTGGGTTGGTGACAGGTGGATGAGGGCCGACGCCAGGAACGCTGGGTCACAGTGATGGCTCTAAGGGAGCTGCCAGGGCTGCATGGGGTGGCAAATGCTGACTGCCATGGCTTCTCAGCTTAACCAGCTCAGGTGTGCAGCCAAAAGCTGTTGATTTTCATCACAGGAAACATTTCCTTTGCTTTCAAGGCAGCCCATCAGAATGTCCAGAACCTCACTGAGGAGCTCTCAGACTCACTGGCATCACTGTGTGTCACTCTTTCCAGTCCAGGCATGAGCTGTTTGGGGCTCTCAGGGGCACAGGGGTCTCTCAGTGAAATCTGGACTCTGTGGGCCTTCCTCACGCAAGGAAGCCTCTTCCCCGGCATGGTGCCCTCAGTTGCGGAGCACGTGGCTCTCGCCGTGTTGGCCCCTGTGCCACCGCATATGCGCCTTCAGCAGCCCAGGGCTGAGCCTCAGATGGGAGGCAAGGATGCACCTGGGATCTGACTTTCTGTTCCCCCTGCTCTGCTAGATCTGAGCTTCTGTTCCACCTGCTCTGCTAGATAAGTTCGGGTGGAGATGGACCACCCTGTGTCTTACCTCCTCTAAAGAAAGTTCCCCATTAAAATTGGGTATGAGAATAGGTGAGAACCATATGAAACTGAATTTGAGACGAGTCTCACATATGCAAGTCCAGACCTGCCTGGAGAGCCCGCGGTTACATCGGCACACAAATTACCTCCGAGTGCCTTTCTCACGCCACAGTCGCTGCCTATTATGAGGGCTTGATATGGGCTCCACAGTGCTCAGGCAATGGAGGTGTCCGGATGAACAAACCCTGCACACAGGACTCACGGGAGGAGAAACGGGGTGTGAACCCCTGTCTGTGGAAGAGCTCACAAAACATCGCTATTTAGACAATCTGATGACGGGATGGGAAAGTGTCAGGGACGAGATCACAGTTGGATAAATGAAGACGGCCCTGGACATTAGAATATGGCAGCAAAACCTCTTCAACCTCTGCTTCCTCCTCCCCAGGGAAGGGAGACAGGGAGACGCCCACACCCCAGCCCTGCCCGTCCCCGTGTCCTGAGACTCGAGGTGCCATGCTCTGCATGGCCTACCATGGGCTCTGCTCCCCTGGCCAGGGTAGCAGTGGGTTTCTCCTTCCTCCATCTCTGTAATGTGCCAGAAGACAGTCTGCGGAGGCTTCTGGATGGTCCCTGATCTCTCTCCTTGTGCTCACGCCTGCAGCCGGAGGTCCATCTGCTTAGGAGGAACAGACCGCCCGGAGGCATGAAGAGCCTGACCTCCTCCAGACACCATCGCTTTCAACACCTCGGGCGGTGTCACAGGGCTGCCCCTGCCCTGATGCTCCACACCATTCGAGGAAGGGGGGCCTGACGAGGCGGCCACATGCTTGTGGAAGGGAGTAGGCTTGCTGCTGGGGGCTCTCTGAGGAAACATCAGCAAGTGGTCCCACTCCCAGACACACCCAGAGCTTTCAACACACGTGTCTGCTGCACCCAGCAAGAAGCCCACGTATTTTCATTCATCCCGGCTACGCTGATCTGATGCTTGGTTATGAATGGTCCAGGACCCTAGAGAGCTACCTGCAGCCTCAATGGCTTTTCCAGGTCTGGGGCGTGAGAGGTGAGGCTGAGCTCACCAGTGACTCAGACGTGAATTCTGAGTGCTCCTCGCGGCTGCAGGTTGAGCCTGTGGAGGCCAAAGGCCAGCCAGTCACTTAGACGTGTGACCTGGAGGGGGTGAGTGTGCTTCTCAGGGCATGTGTGACAGCCAGGGGCAGGGAAGCTCCGTCATAGCAAGTGTGTGTGCATCTGTAGGAGTGTGTGCACAATGACACACACGTGCAGATATGAGTACACAGATGTATCTACGCTCACACACACACATGCATATACTCATGCAGACACATGTGTACACAGACATATATACACTGACACACGCATATACTCACACATGCAGACACACACTAACACACATGTGCAGATATGTGTACACAGATGTATACACACACACAATACATGCATATACCCTCGCATACAGACACACACACACTGACACACGTGCAGATATGTGTACACAGATGTATATAAACACATATACACATGCATATACTCACATATGCAGGCACACTCACACAAACCATCACAAGCACACAATGCAAATAAACGCAAATACGCTCACATTCGCACACACACACTCACACACACCCCCATTTCTACACCAGGACACATTGACTGCAGCAAAGGAAGGTGGCTGTTGGGGATGGGCTGTGCCAGGCCATGGAAACCCCTCACAGAGGGCTGCACCCCAACACTGGTTCACCAGCAAAAGAAAGAAGGCGCTGCCGTGTGCTGCCAGCCCTGGCCCACCCTGGGGCTGTTCAGGGGGTTGGCAGGAGGTGGCTGTGCCCTCCCCAGTGGCTCCCTAGGGATTGTTTGCTGACACATGGCTCCCTGACCCCAGTGTTGCTCTACTGGGAAGGTTGCAGGCCTGAGAGGAGGGATCCACAGCCACTCTCCCTCTGCTCCTGCCTGTTCACAGATCCCAGAAAGGTGCTTGGATTTACACGTATCTCAGAGATATGAGAGAAGGTGTGCCCAGCCCATAAGCAAAACAAGACACGTTTTAAACGTCGGAAGGACCCTTCTATAAGTGGGTCATCTTTCACATCCGGGATATTTTTACCACGTTTGTCGTATACCCAAGATGTTGACACCAAACTGAGATTAACACAAAAGAAGCATCCAAGAAAAACACAAGACGGATTATATTATTAAACACCGAGGTGGATGAACAGCAAAGACTCTAAACGCAAAGAGTTTACAAACACTGCCCAGATCCGTGTCCCTAAAAAATCAGAAAAGGCTTCCCTGGGCAGGAGGAGTCTGTTGTTTGCCCGGCATGGTGCCTGGAAGGAGGGCAGGTTTGCAAAGGGGAGGGACGGACACATTTCAGGCTCGAGTCCGTAGGAAAGGCCAGCGACCTGCCCACTAGCCCACCCTGGGCTGTGAAACGGGTGTGTGAGGACACTGTGCAGCCAACCCACCCAACCAGCATAACCCCAGACACTGTGGCTTCCAGGACCTCTGAAGGAATTTGCGGCCTTAGTTATGGCACACAGTATGGCTTCAACTAGCACATCAGTGCCACATCGCTGCATTTCTACCTGTCGACTAAGAATCCACTTCCCCCAGTGCACTGTGACGGCCATTTGATTATTAACACAGATGAAAGAAAGCGTGCATGAGTACCCAGCAGGCAGCTAAGCCAGCTAGGAGCAGCCCGTCCTCCCTGGCATTGCAGTCTCTTCACGCTCCTGTGAAGCGGTGCTCCCACCCAGAACTCAGTCCCCATGAAGCGGTGCTCCCACCCAGAACTCAGTCCCGGTGAAGTGGCGCTCCCACCCAGAACTCAGTCCCACCCAGAACTCAGTCCCCATGAAGTGGTGCTCCCACACAGAACTCAGTCCCCGTGAAGCGATGCTCCCACCCAGAACTCAGTCCCTGTGAAGCTGTGCTCCCACCCAGAACTCAGTCCCACCCAGAACTCGGTCCCCGTGAAGCAGTGCTCCCACCCAGAACTCGGTCCCGATGAAGCGGTGCTCCCACCCAGAACTCAGTCCTGGTGAAGTGGCGCTCCCACCCAGAACTCAATCCCACCCAGAACTCAGTCCCCATGAAGCGGTGCTCCCACCCAGAACTCAGTCCCACCCAGAACTCGGTCCCCGTGAAGCGGTGCTCCCACCCAGAACTCGGTCCCCGTGAAGCGGTGCTCCCACACAGAACTCAGTCCCTGTGAAGCGGTGCTCCCACCCAGAACTCAGTCCCACCCAGAACTCAGTCCCCGTGAAGCGGTGCTCCCACCCAAAACTCAGTCCTCGTGAAGTGGTGCTCCCACCCAGAACTCAGTCCCACCCAGAACTCAGTCCCCGCGAAGCGGTGCTCCCACCCAGAACTAGTCCCTGTGAAGAGGTGCTCCCACCCAGAACTCAGTCCCACCCAGAACTCAGTCCCCGCGAAGCGGTGCTCCCACCCAGAACTCAGTCCCTGTGAAGTAGTGCTCCCACCCAGAACTCAGTCCCACCCAGAACTCAGTCCCTGCGAAGCGGTGCTCCCACCCAGAACTCAGTCCCTGTGAAGTAGTGCTCTCACCCAGAACTCAGTCCCTGGGCGTCAGCACCACGGCCAGCACCTGTTGGCTCCTGCCACCACCTCCTCACTCCCACAGCCACACCTCTCGCAGGGGCAAGATACAAAGAAACCTCGACCCCACATGAGGGACTGTGACCCACCACAAACATGGGAAATGGAGCAAAGCCACTTTAATGGACATCCGTTCTGTCCCTGGGGTCCGCAGCTCACTCAGTCCCAGCCACAGTCAGACAAGCAAGTGAATCGGATGGGGAGAGGAAGCTCTGGGGTTCTACTGCACGGCAGGGCGGCTGCAGCTTGCAGCAATGAGTTGTGCACTTCAGCAGAGCTAGAAGACAAGGTTCTGAAATATCCTAGGCCTGTTTGGTATGAGACACTTGGTGGAAAATCCAGCCCCAGTTTGATAGGGCTCACAGCAGTGCTAACTTGGGCTCAGGCAGGTACAGCCGGGGCTAATGCACCCCAAGCCCCAGGGTCTCTGCTGTTAGAAGGTGACCTCACGCACGGCTCATCTTCATTCACCCCCATGGTCTCTGCAGTTAGAAGGCAACCTCACTTAGGGCCCATGTTCATTCCCCTCGGCTACCCCAGGACCCGGCACAGAACCAGGACGGAGTAGTCAGTAAGCATCTACCGAATTGAACTTCCCCAAATAGAACTCACTTGCTCTTTGAACATGCACACACATGCACACACTCTCTAAATGAAACTCTTGGGAAGAAATGATAGATTTGAAAAATTTCAGAAATCATAAAAATAATATTTTGGTCTAAAATGACCTTCGAAAAACGGATCTAGCTGAATCTAACCAATTAATTAATAAAACATTGAAATGGAGTATGAATTCTAAATGAAATGCCATTTAATCTCAATCAGCCAGAAATTTCAGGAATGCAGCACTCTCTGGTGCACTTGTGCGATTACTGAGAGTAAACTTCATTCCATGAAACAATTTCAGAAATTAAAGATACTTTTAAAGACTGACTAAAAGACATTGTTTTTAATCCATAAAGGTTTCTTCACATCTCTTGAGAACTCCAGGCTGATCTGGGCCCAGTTTGGTGCATACATTTGAATCTGTCACCTTCTGAAGACTTTTCTTCCCACTCGTCGCTTGTCGCTTGTCACCTGTCGCCTGTCGCAGTTTAGCCAAGTCATCACGAGAGCAGCACACATGTGCCCAGCATGTGGACTCTGCCTGCAGATCTAAGGCTGAAAAGTGCCTTCCACGCATAATTCATAACACAGCTACTCAGAGTGTTAGTGCTGCAGAGGATCAGACCCTTCATTATTTCATGCCATTTCCTGAAAGCTTCTACCACATTTCTCAGCAAACCACCGAAGTGTGTACATGAGCATCTGTGTTCGGCCTTTCTCAGAAACACAGCTCTGCATAAACACCCCGATACGTAAGCGGCATCCCGACATTTCCGCCGTCTCCCGTTATTATGGGAAGCTTAGTTCATTTTGCTGTGGTTGTTGTTCTGTCTTTACTACGAGTTTTTAAAAAGAATGAATAATGACGATCACTAAATTTAAGAATATTAACTGTAAGGCCAGGTGCAGTGGCTTCCGCCTGTAATCCCAGCACTTTAGGAGGCCAAGGCGGGCAGATCACCTGAGGTCAGGAGTTCAAGACCAGCCTGGCCAACATGGTGAAACCCTGTCTCTACTAAAAAAAACCAAAAAACAAACAAACAAACAAAAAAACAAAAAAACACACACAAATTAGTCAGGCATGAGCCTATAATCCCGCTACTCGGGAGGCTGAGGCAGGAGAATAGCCTGAACCCAGGAGGCAGAGGTTGCAGTGAGCCAAGACTATGCCACTCTACTCCAGCCTGGGCGACACAGTGAGACTCCATCTCAAAAATAATAATAATAATATTAACTGTACAGCACTTTGGGAGGCTGAAGTGGGTGGATCACGAGGTCAGGAGTTTGAGACCAGCCTGGCCAATGAGGTGAAATCCTGTCTCAACTAAAAAAATAAAAAAATTAGCCAGGTGTGGTGGCACATGCCTGTAGTCCCGGCTACTTGGGAGGCTGAGGCAGGAGAATAGCTTGAACCTGGGAGGTGGAGTATGCAGTGAGCTGAGATCACACCACTGCACTCCAGCCTGGGAGACAGAGTGAGACTCTGTCTCCAAAAAAAACAACTATAAAAAGGCCCTTGTTACAGAAACACAGTCTCAGCCTCACCCATGAAGTCTAAAGGGCTCTGCTCTGCCTCCAGGGCCCAAAGACACAAACCAGCAATCCCTGTGGTCTTGTACAGTCTGAGGAAGATCCATCAGAATTAATGAAAAAGTGGAGAATGGATTCATTTACAAGCACGTCATTTTATTTATTTATTTTTTTGAGACGGAGTCTCCCTCTGTTGCCCAGGCTGGAGTGCAGTGGTGCCATCTCTGCTCATTGCAAGCTCCCCCTCCTGGGTTCAAGCCATTCTCCTGCCTCAGCCACCTGAGTAGCTGGGACTACAGGCGCCCGCCACGACGCCCGGATAGTTTTTTGTATTTTTAGTAGAGATGGGGTTTCATGGTGTTAGTCAGGATGGTCTCGATCTCCTGACCTCGTGATCCACCTGCCTTGGCCTCCCAAAGTGCTGGGATTACAGGCATGAGCCACCATGCCTGGCTCACCATGTTTCTTTACACTTGCAAGAGATTTAAACTTTTTAAAAAGGTCAAGTTCAACTTCTCTGGATCTATTTTCCACAAGCTATAGCAAGCAATAACTAAATGACGAGAAGTCACTAAACCAATAAAAGACAAAGGAAGAGATGGAATGATGACTCAGGCATACATCATTCTCATGAGCCCAAAATACTCTACAGAGACTAATGACCTTTTACATGAAACCCACTGCAGTCCCCGTGGAGCCACAGGTGTGGAGCTCTGAGGCTGTGCAGTGGAGGGTGGGCCCATCACATCCGCCTTGGCCAAGGGACCCTGGTTGGTCACTTAGCTCAGCCTTACCTGTAAAATTGCAAAGAAATACACAGCAGTGTTAACGTCCTAAATGGTGAAATGTGAGACGCCTCGGAACTGTAATCTCGCTCAGTGTCAGGAGGATGGAAGGCAGGCTCCGCTCTCAGGAGACGGCTGGGCCACGTGGAACCAGGGCTCTGCCTCCAGGGGCCTGCCCGGGATTTTCGCAATGGAAACATTTGCTTCAGAATCACTGCCTAGGCCTTAGTTCACCCTCATAGCCCAAGGCCTGTGTCATTGCTCAAGACATTTTATGCTGGCTAAAGAGCACGGCTGATCTTATGTAACAGTTTTTTCCACTTTTTCTCTTCTCCCTGTATTGTCACTGTGTTTACATGTTTCCACAACAACATATACTACAACACCAAAGGGAGGAAGGTACTGTGAAAATGGGATAAATCAGAGTCATGTGAAGAAATGAGAGATGGAAACAGCTGTGAACTTAGTCTCTCCAGTTGGAAAAACAGGAAGAAGAAACTAAGGTTCAAGCATGTTCTTTAAAGGTTTTAATTTCCCAAATGGAAAGCTCCTGTTCACTTGACAAGCCCAGACCAAGACTAAGAGCTCGCCGTGTCCTGAGTGACAGGCCCAGACCAAGACTGAGACCGAGCACGCGCCGTGTCCTGAGTGACAAGCCCGGACTGAGACCGAGTGCGTGCCATGTCCTGAAAGACAGGACCGGACCGAGACCGAGTGCACGCCGTGTCCTGAGTGACAGGCCCGGACCGAGACCGAGCGCGTGCCATGTCCTGAAAGACAGGGCGGCCCAGAGCTCCTTTCCTTACATTTCTTCCTTGCTCATCAGTGAGTCAGTGGGAGAGAGTTTTGTTAGAATGTGGTACACTGTGAAGTGATATTAAAGTACTTTTTTAGTTCAATATTTCCACTGTTCCAGGAAGAACAAAATATATGTGCAATAGTGAAATACAGATTGTCTAATTTCACTGATTCTGCATACAAGTTAAATGCCCTTTTATTTTTATTTAAAACTGCTGTCACACAGTATAAAGACAAATGGTAAAAGCATGCTAATAGTTAGACTTCCAATCTTTATTCAAAATAGCATTAAGGAGCAAACAAAAAATACCATAGCAAGTCAAGAAACCATCGAAGAAGAAAAAAGCTGTATAGTTGAGTCCACTTATGGCCATTTTTCCTGCTTATTGAACAAATGGCCCATCTTTTCATTCTACACTGGGTCCTGAAAACCAGATGGCTAACCCGGAGGCAGAAACTCACATTCCCATGGGCCTTATAGCTTACGGGGGAAGATAATGATTAGACCTGTAGTTACCACTACAATAAAGATTACAAAATAGAAAAAGGAGATCAAAACAGAAGACTGTGGCTGGAAAGCCATCTCCATGGACGGTCCTTGCAAAAAAACGATCCAAAAGGAGCTGACGACAACTCTTGATACAGTAAATTAACATTTCACCCGTCTCAGGAAAACAGACCTGAGTCTGTCATTTTTCTTTGGCAAGCGGTACCAAAGTTGCTTTAAACTCTCTAGCAGCACACGCGAGAGGAATAATGAGAACCCCGCCAATCACTGCTGGAGGCTGCTCCGTTCAGGCCCTGTAGGGTATGCTTGTGTCCCCTTAATCCTTTCAGGGGAGATCCCTTTTGCATCCCAAATAAAAGCAAACGTTAACTAGATTTAATTTGGCCTGAGCTAGCAATGTATGCGTACAAAGTTTTTTACAGATAAATCCGCCGAGCACCCCAAATCTTGAAACCATGGGAGGCAGTGAAAGCTCACTTCAAAAACGCGCTACAGCAGCCGGGCTGCAGGGTCGGGGGACCACACCCAGGGACCAGGGCTGCTGGAGGTGGGAGGACGCCCCCTGCAGGCAGATGGCTGGACACACAGGCAGCTTTAACTCTAAGATGCTAAGTTGTTTGGGAACTTCCTTGGTCCAGGAAAGAAAGCTTGGTGAGACCATCGGACATCTCACTCTTGGGGTCGTGGAATGACTGTCTCATTGCGACATTGAACATCTCAGGACAGCCTCGCTGAGAAGACCATCCGCTACACCAGCTCTGGGGGACTGGGGGAAAGTGACCCTGCAGAGGTGAGTTTTAAACTAAGACTGGAAGACAAGAAGGTGAGTGTTGGGTGAGGTGGAGGCCAAGGATGCCAGGCAGAGCATCCATCGGTTCAGGTTGAGAGGTCTAAACTGAGAGAATGATCTGGCCTGGGGAAGTACAGGGGTGGTTTCGGATATTTGTGAATCCGTAATTCTCATCCCGAGTCTGCCTCCAGGGCAAGGCTGAGCCAAGCAGGTCAGCACGATCTGGAAGACGAGGCTTGTGGAGTCTTCCTTTATTCTTGTGCTCTCTGCAGCAAGAAAACAAATCAGCTCCGTATTTCACGGGACTGCCAAGATGAGTTTCATTTTAGATGCTGTGACTCCCGCTCCTCTGATATTTTAGGAAGAAAGACAGGAACATGGAAGTCGTGCCTGCCCAAATATCTCATATATGTTAAGTCCTCAACAGTTAAGGAATTGTGAAATGGCTGAAAAGGACATGGCTCAAGGACACAGGAATCAATTCCAGTCCAAAGGCGCTTTTGAGAGGATAACACTTGTCCTTACATTGCAAACCACGCAGCTTAAGAAAACCCTATGGAGAATGGATGTAACACTGTGTCCTGGACAGTTTTACATCCTGAGCAATGTGTTAATGGGTAAGATGATCTGGGAAGAAGGTGCCTGCTCTGCCTGTGGAAACATGTCGCTTGAACGCTGTGGAAGAATTTCAGACAGTAACGCAGACGAAATCATGTGCATTTTATAAAGGCCAGCTGAAACATCAATCTAACTTTCTTACAGTGTTGTAAAGTCAAACTCAGGACTAAGTTGAGTCAGTACAGAAGAGATAGGATAGGAATGTGCTCTCTGGGACAAAATGGCCTGGAGCTCAATGAAAACTCTGTTGTTATTGAATTACAAACACCATTCTGTTCTTATGGGGGCAGAGACAGTGGTTTGTCCTAATTTGGGAAAGACTGAATCATGTTTGAAGCAACTTAAGAGCAAACAGTCCATATTCAAAATACAGACTTTGGGGGTCGTCTTCCTCCCCCTTCAATGGACGCTTCTTATTTCACTAAGCCAGAGGCCCTAGAGACATAGCTTCAGCCTTTCCGGTTGGATATCACAGCAGACCAGACGCACACTTCAGTTGCCAGATGAATCTGGTGTAAAGAAACAGCAACTTCTTTACTGTGTCGAAACGCGCCACATTAATCCTATTAAATAACAGCTGGGCTTTCCGAATGAGGCAGAGCATAAATAATAAACAAATAATTAGGAAACGTGATCCATGAAATGCCCTGGTTTCAGCTAGTAGTACAGCCAAGCCCTCAGCTCCAGGAACAGGTGGTTAGGAAAGGAAACACGATGTGAAACTCTTTCTTCAAAGATCCAAATAAAAAGGTGTCCTGGGTGGCACAGGCAGCGACCAGTCATTGGAGCGGAGGCAGGGCTCCTGTCTCACCTGGCAAGTTTGGGATTGTTCTAGAATAGGGTGCTAAGGATAGCTGCCCAGAAGAGGCCACAGGGCATTGGGGCATTGCTGCCCGCTCCGTATCTGCATCCCCGTACAGCAGGAGCTGCTGCTGCCTGCCCCACGTTCGAATCCTGGTTCAGCAGGAGCCATTGCTTCCCGCACTACACTCGCCCTGGTACTGCGTCTGCAACCTGGTACAGCAGGAGCCACAGTGTGGGGTGGGAGGAAGAGCTCCCTTGCCATGGTTGTCACGTAAACTTACTACCGGGGCCACCCAGACTCAAAGCCAGAAGCGGTTTAACCACCTTTCCTCCCGGAGGATGTGCATCGTGGTTGTTTAAAAAGCCTTAAAACTTGTGAGTTTCAGGCCGGGTGCAGTGGCTCATGCCTGTAATCCTAGCACTTTGGGAGGCTGAGGCGGGTGGATTGCCTGACCTCAGGAGTTCAAGACCAGCCTGGGCAACACAATGAAACCCTGTCTCCAGTAAAATACAAAAAGTAAGCCGGGCGTGGAGGCTGGTGCCTGTAGTCCCAGCTACTCAGGAGGCTGAGGTAGGAGAATTGCTTGAACCTGGGAGGCGGAGGTTGCATGAACCGAGATCACGCCATTGCACTCCAGTCTGGGTAACAGAGCGAGACTCTGTCTCAAAAAAAAAAAAAAAATTGTGAGTTTAACAGTGTCAACATCTACTAAGCACTTATTCTATGGGGCATGGAGGGGACAAAGGTGAATTTTAAAAATAAGACAACTTACAAGGAGTTAATAATCTACAAAGTGAGGCAGACACTCCGATAATAGTACACAATGATTATAATAATTATGCACTGTGACAAATGATACATCATAGAAACCTACAAATATAGGACCATTAAAGAGGAAATTATTAACTCGGCTTATCAGAGAAGGCCCTGATGCAGGGGGGAGGAGCCGATCTGATCTATGTTTCCCAGGGCAAGAAACGCAGGGAATCATCTTAGGCTGAAGGAACAACATGTGTGAAGTCACAGAGGCAGGACGCAGCACGATGGGTGGGTGCATGCATTTCCATGGAACAATACACGTGAAATCACAGAGGCAGGAGACAGCACGCCAGGTGGGCGCACACATTTCCATGGAACAATACGTGTGAAATCACAGAAGCAGGATGCAGCACGCTGGGTGGGTGCATGCATTTCCACAGATCAACACGTGTGAAGTCACAGAAGCAGGACGCAGCATGCTGGGCGGGTGCACGCATTTCCACGGATCCACACGCGTGAAGTCACAGAAGCAGGATCCAGC
This sequence comes from Homo sapiens, assembly GCF_000001405.40. Lineage (NCBI taxonomy): Eukaryota > Metazoa > Chordata > Mammalia > Primates > Hominidae > Homo > Homo sapiens. The sequence goes on along the minus strand of NT_187565.1, from coordinate 41,629 downwards.
ACGCCGGGTGGGTACATGCATTTCCATGGACATTTCTCTATTAATACATGTCCTGATTTGCCTTTGTTGTATTTATTGTGGTAAAGAATGAACATTTTAAGTTTGAGATTTCGAAGTTTTTTCAGTATGCTTGGCTTTTAACTAAAATTGTATTTTTGGAAAATATGAAATACTCGAATTTCTATTAAATGATGTACATCTGAAATATTTAGTGGCTAATTAATTCAAAATTAAAGAATTCACCTATGTTGAAGGAACAGTTTGCTAGAAAAAAATAGGTATTCACTTAATATCAAGTTGGGACTTTTTTTTAAATCATTAGTTCACTGTTATCTAGGGTTTCTGCTAATCTGTTGGCTCACTTACAAAATTAAAACCCATTGGAGATTACAAAAGATATAAATTCTAATCTCTAGAATTTAAGCACGCTTCAGGGCTTAAGCTAGATTTTAAACCACAACATAAAATTAAATGCCTGTATTTACTGAATCAGTTTGTTTGGTTGCTCTGTAAGCTGCAGAATGGGTCTGAGAATATTAATTCCACTAATTGGAAACAAAGAAAGGAACCCTTGTTTATCCAGAATCCAAATAATCACCAAGCACATTCTTTGCCTTAGAATTCTAATTACACATTTTCCCCTTTAGAATTCTAAAGTCAGAGAATCACTAAATTTTGGATGTTATAAATGGGGAAGCCGAGTTCTAGAGAAAATCCATTAGTTCTATGCATGTGATTTTAAACATCCTGATAAGAGCTTCAATTCCTTTCTAATACTAAAGGTGAAAATGAAAAAAAGTATCCTGATGTAAAAGCAATTATCCGCTGAATTCCTGTGAGCTGTGGAGGAAAGTCAGCTCAGGACTTAGAAGGCAGAGGCAGTGAACAAGTCCTCCCATGACAGCCAAGCAGCATGGTGGTCACGGACCATGCATACGCACATGGATGCGGATGCACGCACACATGCAGAGACGCATGGATGCAAGCACACACAGACACATGGATGCATGCACACATGCAGAGACACACGGATACACATGCACGCACATGGTACGGATGCATAAGCACATGCAGAGACACACAGACACACACGCACACGCAGAGACACACAGATGCACACAGAGACACACAGATGCACGCACACGCACATGGCACAGATGCACGTGCACATGCAGAGACACAGATGCACACACACATGCAGAGGCACATGGATGCACGTGCACACGTAGAGACACATGGACGCAGACACATACGGGCACGGATGCATGCACACATGCAGAGACACATGGATGCACACACACACAGAGGCACATGGATGCATGCGCACACACAGAGGCACACAGATGCATGTGCACACTTAGAGACACATGGATGCCTGGGCACAGAGGCACACGGATGCCCACACACACGCAGAGGCACACGGATGCACGCACACATGTAGAGGCACAGGGATGCATGCACACACACAGATACATGTATACACACAGATACATGCACACACATGCCCCTACACACCTGTGCATACAGACATGTGCACACACACACGAATGCAAACACAGAGAGAAACACACGTGCACACACAGACACACACAGGTGGCAGCACCTCCAGCCTTGGCTGTCACAACACTGTTCTTGTGGGGCTATGGCTTGGGGGAAGACCGCAGGAGTTGGAGAGGTCTGGCCATGACTGGGGTGGGTGTGCACAAGGTGCTGGGAAGTGGCAGCTGGTTCAAAGCTAAGAGAGGTGAGAATGTCGTGCTTGGGGACACCTGCAATTAGTCCCATATGACCAGAACTTAGAATATGTTCGAGAAGTTGAGAGAGCTGAGCATGAAGCACCAGGCTGAGCTCAAGCACAGGGGTGGTTATCACATCACGTGGGACCCACGGCTCTGTGCCCGTATGTTGCCCGTTCACCCGTCTGCCCGGCTCCTGATGCCTTCCCAGCCTCGGCAGACAGACACCCTGGGCTCCACGCACCCACCCTTTTTCACTGTGTCCCGTCCTCCTCCTCCGGTCCGGCTCCAGGGTTCAGTGTCATCTGTAGGATGCGACGCTACGGTTCCCTCGAGTCCTGGCCTCTTTCCTGGACTCCAGGCATCTCCTGGTAGCTGCCACCTTGTGTCTGCTTGGATCTTTACTACACTCAGTGGGGCTCAGGAAGAACACATAACTTTCCCCTGCAAATCATTTCATCCTTACCCTTCCCCATTTCCGGAAACAGTGCCACCATGACTAAGGACTCAACACTCAGCTGGAACACAGGCCGTCCCCTTCAGCCCTCCTCTTCCTCACCTCACTCTCATGGTCTCTACTTGCAGAATGCACCCAGAGCCCAACCACTCCCGAGTTCCTCAACTCCCTGGGCCCAGAGGCCGCAACACCTTTCGTCTTCATGTGCGCTTACCTTTGTCTCCTGCCCTATTCTCCCCCACCCCTGTTACTCCACCAGCATCTGGGTTAAAGCTAAGTCCTGGCACATTCTCAAAGGCCCTGGGTCACCCATCGTCCCCGTCTCTTCCCTCTGCCTTTGTCTCCTGTGGTTTTCCATGCTGACTGCAGTGCTCCAGCAACCTGACCTTGCCATTGTCTGGCATGTGATCTACGTTTCCTTCCGGTCTCTGGCCCCTTACAGACAACATCTCCCTGCCTGGAAACTGTCCCCCAAAGCTGCTGATGTCCTGCCTCTTCCCATCGTTCTGACATCTTTTCCAACGTGCACTCCTCAGAGAGGCTTTCCCTTAACTGACATGAGCCCCTCCCCAGTCACTCTCCAGGCCCTTTTCTCATCTCATCACAGCTGATGGACGTCCAGCAAGCCTACCTTCCTAGGAGAATACAAGCTCCTTGAAATCAGTGATTGTGACTTTTAACTCATGCTGTATTCCCATAATGAACACTCTGTTGGCTCCACGTCAGCTGCCTCCACACCCACTCCAATCTCTCCGAGGGTGCAGAGCTGGAAGACAGAGGATGGCTGAGTGAGTGGGCAGACACACTCATTTCCTAGAATCCTGCCAGGAGGTTTCCACACGTGGCCTCTCTCCCAACACCTGCATGAACCTCTGATCTGGGATTTGAGTCAGAGAAGGTTGGTCTCAGGTTTCAGGGGATTCATTTTACCAGCACACATTGTGGCAGAGGCGGTGGTAACAATTCCAGAGAGCTTAGCTGAGAACTTAGCAGTTCACTGGGGTGGCAGCAGACGCCCTGACCAGGGAGGAGGGAGGGGAGCCATGGGGGCCCCAGGCACTGCAGGGAGGCAGCGAGCACAAGATCCCAGCTGAGCTTGGCCCTCCAGCCCTCGGAGACCTCAGAGGCCGCTAATCCCGCCAAGTCTCCATTCTGCTTCAACGAGCAACAGGGAGCCCATTGTTCGCCACCGAGCTCGCACTGATACACCACCTAAATCTCCTGAAAGCCCCATAAAACAGAGACTATGTCGATTCCCATCTCACAGGTGAGGAAAAACCATGCTGAGCGTTTTGAGTTAATCCTAAAATCTATGGGGACCCACTGGACCCTTCTAAGTGGTGAAAGGACATCATTAACTCTGCCTTTTAGGAAGACCATTCCGGCAGCTGTTGGGGAACACATTGGAGGCCCCAAGGATGGGCGAGGGGGCGGGGGGGGGGCTGATCACTGACAATGGATTAGTTACAATGAAAACAGTAAAAATATATTAAGTACGAATAGGAACCACTCAATTTTCATTTTGAAAGTGGTAACTTAGTATGTTGCTTGGCAGTATTTAACTTATAGCCACAGATCCCATTTTCGTAACATGAGAGAACTGCCTTTCGACATCGGCGGGGGAATCTGTTCCCCTAGGTGATAAACTGGAGGTAACGAACCGGCCCTGACAACAGGCCTCCTGTGGAGGCCTAAACTTCAAAGTCAGGAACAGCCTTTTCTAGAATCCAAGGCGTGAAGAGGGCTGCCATTTTGCTAACTGGCATATACTAGATACGAAGAAACGAAGGTCACTAACAATCTGGGTGAACTAGATATGGACAGTGGGGAGCCCTGTGGGAGAAATACAATATGAAGATGGTTTTGAAAATAAATCCAGGAAAGTAAAGCTGAACTGATAAAGCTATACATTCTTTGACAACCTAAACACCAACCTTTTTATTTCATGTTGTTGCCACGATTTGGAGAAATCAAAGTTTGAAACAGGACCCTTCAAGAGTTGCAAAGAAATGAAAAGCAGCAAAGCCATTTGTAGACTGTTGGAGAGACGCTGCACTCACACACGCTCTATTTTTAAACGCTGACGAGTGTCTCGAGTGTAGACCACTGTTGGAGAGACGCTGCACTCGCACACGCTCTATTTTTAAACACTGACGAGTGTCTCGAGTGTAGACCACTGTTGGAGAGACGCTGCACTCACACACGCTCTATTTTTAAAAGCTGCCGAGTTTCTCGAGTGTAGACCACTGTTGGAGAGACGCTGCACTCGCACACGCTCTATTTTTAAACGCTGACGAGTGTCTCGAGTGTAGACCACTGTTGGAGAGACGCTGCACTCACACACGCTCTATTTTTAAAAGCTGCTGAGTGTCTCGAGTGTAGACCACTGTGGGAGAGACGCTGCACTCGCACACGCTCTATTTTTTAACACTGACGAGTGTCTCGAGTGTAGACCACTGTTGGAGAGACGCTGCACTCACACACGCTCTATTTTTAAAAGCTGCCGAGTTTCTCGAGTGTAGACCACTGTTGGAGAGACGCTGCACTCGCACACGCTCTATTTTTAAACGCTGCCGAGTGTCTCGAGTGTAGACCACTGTTGGAGAGACGCTGCACTCGCACAGCCTGTATTTTTAAACGCTGCCGAGTGTCTCGAGTGTAGACCACTGTTGGAGACACGCTGCACTCGCACAGCCTCTATTTTTAAACGCTGCCAAGTGTCTCGAGTGTAGACCACTGTTGGAGAGACGCTGCACTCGCACAGCCTCTATTTTTAAAAGCTGCGAAGTTTCTCGAGTGTAGACCACTGTTGGAGAGACGCTGCACTCGCACAGGCTCTATTTTTAAAAGCTGCCGAGTTTCTCGAGTGTAGACCACTGTTGGAGAGACGCTGCACTCGCACAGCCTCTATTTTTAAAAGCTGCCGAGTTTCTCGAGTGTAGACCACTGTTGGAGAGACGCTGCACTCGCACACGCTCTATTTTTAAACGCTGCCGAGTGTCTCGAGTGTAGACCACTGTTGGAGAGACGCTGCACTCACACACGCTCTATTTTTAAAGCTGCCGAGTTTCTCCAGTGTAGACCACTGTTGGAGAGACGCTGCACTCGCACAGGCTCTATTTTTAAACGCTGCCGAGTGTCTCGAGTGTAGACCACTGTTGGAGAGACGCTGCACTCGCACACGCTCTATTTTTAAAAGCTGCCGAGTTTCTCGAGTGTAGACCACTGTTGGAGAGATGCTGCACTTGCACACGCTCTATTTTTAAACGCTGCCGAGTGTCTCGAGTGTAGACCACTGTTGGAGAGACGCTGCACTCGCACACGCTCTATTTTTAAAAGCTGCCGAGTTTCTCGAGTGTAGACCACTGTGGGAGAGACGCTGCACTCGCACAGGCTCTATTTTTAAACGCTACCGAGTTTCTCGAGTGTAGACCACTGTGGGAGAGACGCTGTACTCGCACACGCTCTATTTTTAAAGCTGCCGAGTTTCTCGAGTGTAGACCACTATGGGATAGACACTGCACTCACGCACGCTGTATTTTTAAAAGCTGCCAAGTGTCTCGAGTGTAGACCACTGTTGGAGAGACGCTGCACTCGCACACGCTCTATTTTTAAACGCTGCCGAGTGTCTCGAGTGTAGACCACTGTTGGAGAGACGCTGCACTCGCACAGCCTCTATTTTTAAACGCTGCCGAGTGTCTCGAGTGTAGACCACTGTTGGAGAGACGCTGCACTCGCACACGCTCTATTTTTAAAAGCTGCCGAGTTTCTCGAGTGTAGACCACTGTTGGAGAGACGCTGCACTCGCACACGCTCTATTTTTAAAAGCTGCCAAGTTTCTCGAGTGTAGACCACCGTTGGAGAGACGCTGCACTCGCACAGGCTCTATTTTTAAACGCTGCCAAGTTTCTCGAGTGTAGACCACTGTTGGAGAGACGCTGCACTCGCACACGCTCTATTTTTAAAAGCTGCCGAGTTTCTCGAGTGTAGACCACTGTTGGAGAGACGCTGCACTCGTACAGGCTCTATTTTTAAACGCTGCTGAGTTTCTCGAGTGTAGACCACTGTTGGGGAGACGCTGCACTCGCACACGCTCTATTTTTAAAAGCTGCCGAGTGTCTCGAGTGTAGACCACTGTGGGAGAGACGCTGCACTCACACACGCTCTATTTTTAAAAGCTGCCAAGTGTCTCGAGTGTAGACCACTGTTGGAGAGACGCTGCACTCGCACAGCCTCTATTTTTAAAAGCTGCGAAGTTTCTCGAGTGTAGACCACTGTTGGAGAGAGGCTGCACTCGCACACGCTCTATTTTTAAAAGCTGCCAAGTTTCTCGAGTGTAGACCACCGTTGGAGAGACGCTGCACTCGCACAGGCTCTATTTTTAAACGCTGCCGAGTTTCTCGAGTGTAGACCACTGTTGGAGAGACGCTGTACTTGCACACGCTCTATTTTTAAAAGCTGCTGAGTTTCTCGAGTGTAGACCACTGTTGGAGAGACGCTGCACTCGTACAGGCTCTATTTTTAAACGCTGCCGAGTTTCTCGAGTGTAGACCACTGTTGGAGAGACGCTGTACTTGCACACGCTCTATTTTTAAAAGCTGCCGAGTTTCTCGAGTGTAGACCACTGTTGGAGAGACGCTGCACTCGTACAGGCTCTATTTTTAAACGCTGCCGAGTTTCTCGAGTGTAGACCACTGTTGGAGAGACGCTGCACTCGCACACGCTCTATTTTTAAAAGCTGCCGAGTTTCTCGAGTGTAGACCACTGTTGGAGAGACGCTGCACTCGCACACGCTCTATTTTTAAAAGCTGCCGAGTTTCTCGAGTGTAGACCACTGTTGGAGAGACGCTGCACTCGCATAGGCTCTATTTTTAAACGCTGCCGAGTTTCTCGAGTGTAGACCAATGTTGGAGAGACGCTGCACTCGCACAGGCTCTATTTTTAAACGCTGCCGAGTTTCTCGAGTGTAGACCACTGCTGGAGAGACACTGTACTTGCACACGCTCTATTTTTAAAAGCTGCCGAGTTTCTTGAGTGTTGGGAATTATCGCAAGTTATTTCTTGACTTTCTCCAGGAAGCTTTACTCTTCTCAAAATGTTACTTACTAAATACGGTTCTATGGTGTCGCCGCTTCTGAAAAAACCTCTTTTGTAAAAAAGCGTCACTTAGAAAACCACCGCCACGGAGCGGTGTTCTGGAAGTCCTATTAATAACTAAAAACACGCAACGGCGGCTTAGAACTGCTGGGATAGGTCACCCTTTCAGAGGGCATCTTGCGCCTTCCCCGGTAGGGCACATGGGAGCTGTAAAAGGAAACATGTAGTATTTTTCTTCAAAAAGGTTTAGGATTTACCCATGGAAATTCAGAGAACACTTAGGTTGGTGACAGGTTCAATCCTGTGTGTATCCTTCATAATGAACAAGTGAAACTTCCACGAAAATTCAGAAAAGAGAGAGAAGTGGCACCATAGGGAGACCCCCGAAAGTCCTCGACCTCCGGAGCAGGAGGCGGATAGGGGTGGGAGAGGGGCCCCCAGCAGCCCAGCCCCAGGCGGACAGACCCTCCTTACACCAGACCATGGGCTGCCCCAATTCTCCAATGAGACCCTCAATCTAATGCACACCTGAGAGGCGGTGACACAGGAGTGATGCTGGGAAAGTCAGATGGTGGCTGGAGGGTAACTCGGCCATGTCTCCCCTGACATGTTAAAAGTGTTATTTTTTGGATGGAGAAATCCCAAAATGCTTTTGTTACAGCACAGACAGCTCTAGAGTGTAATTAATTTAATGGAGTTTTAAAAAAATATTGTGTGCCCTTTAATTTCATTACTGTGACAGAATATGCACTTCCAAGGTGAACAGTGCGACGGCAAAATCACTTCAGTTGGCTGCAGTGTGAAGTTGGAATTCCAGGTGCAAAGAAAACCTCTACTTTATAAGGGTCAGTGACCAAAAGTATTTCACGTGTCTAACTCAACAGTAACTCAATTAAAACGGATAACTGAAACGTCTGTGCTGCTATGAAATCTAAAGCAAATAAACGTGTGTTTCTCATCATACAGTTTCATAGGATTTTATGAAAGGTTACAATTTTCAAAATTTGAAACCAATATTTCACATATCTAATTAAGTCAGCAGTAACTCATTTACAGTGGATAACTGAAAAGCGTGTGTTGCTACGAATTCTAAAGCAAATAAACACGTGTTTCGTATCATACAGTTTCACAGGATTTTATGAAATATTGTAATTTTAAAAATCTGATAACCAATACTGAAGTGTGATCATTTTGTGTGGAAAGCTACCGTGCGGTGGTTCTTGGGGGTCAGGTGGATTTGAACCCTTAGTCTTTGATGCTGCTGATGAATATGAGAGGGGGATGGTTATCAAGGTTCAGTTTTGGCGCCAGCTGAACTTGGATCTTGCTTCCTTCTCCCCTCCCCAGACATAATTCAGCCTTCCTACATCTGATATTCAAAAATCTGACCTTTTCCAGTCTGTGACTGAAACCCTCTTTTGTCCTGTAGTGACCATCAGGTTCAGGTGGGACTTGAGGTATCCCGGGACAGAGCCTGCCGCTGTGAAGCCTGAATCCACCCCTGACTTTGGACTGTTACTGAATGGCCTGAGGAAGTGTTATGGTGTTCCACAGGAAAAACCTTTATGAGGAACCCAGCCTCACTACTGTTTGTCCATTCTTGATTTTTCTTCAAAGGTTTATCAAAATTCCGGACTTTACCATTCTCCATAATTAAGGGGGGGAGTATAGGGGAGATTATAGGTGAGAGCATAGCTGAACGGCACATGTGCAGACAACCGGAGGGTTCTCTGAAGACTCACGGATTCCTCCAGAATCCAGTGGTGAAGAAGACAAATTTGTTTTTATTCTAAGTGTCAAGTTTTACATTCTAACTGTTAAATCAACACTGAATATATATAATGCAACGCATGCTGAACAACAACAAGATTCCAGGTACTCATGACTGAGAAACGCTGCACCCCTCTTTACAGACAACTTTTGCTACTGGGTTTCTGGCCTGTTTTGTTTTACAGTGATGTTCTATGTCTATATAAACAGACATAGGTAAATGTCACCCCCCAAAGGGGCAACATCAAATATCTGACCGGGTCCAGGGGCTCCGGCACACACCAGTCAGCACAGACAGTGGCCGGCAGGCACATGTGCGTCTCAGTCCTGACCTCATAAAACACAGGACATCTGGGGTTCTGCATCTTGCTACTTTTAAATGAGACACACTATCTTTGAGATCAGGCCATACCGCACGTAGGGCTTGGCCTCACTCATTTTATGGGCTTCATGGTGCTCCCTGCACAGATGCACAGTGAAGTGGCTGTTTTCCTACAGATGGACACTCGCGTTCATTTTCCATCTTTCATTCCTACAAACCCTGCTGCAAGAAGCAGCTCTCCTTCCACATTGGTGAGCATATGGGCACTTCTATGGGATGAATTCCAAGTTAATTAACTGAGTCAAAAGGTATGTGCATTTAATTTTATTTTTTGTAAATATTTTTTATTCTGGTACAGATGACATAAAATTTGCCATTTCACTCATTTTAAGTGTGTAATTATGCGTCATTAAATACATTCGCAACGCTGCACATGCATTGCATGTCCAAATAGAACCTCTATAATCATTCAGAAATAACTCCCGTTCCCTCTCCCCCAAGCCCCCAGAAACCCTGAATCTGTTCTTGTCTCCATGTGTGTTTTCTTCTTGTTGCTTAAGAGTTCTTTGTACATTTTGGATACCAATCTGTTACTGGATACGTGATTTGCAAAGATGTTGTCAAATCTGTGGTCTGTCATTTCATTCTCTTAACTGTCTTTCAGAAAGCAGAAGTTTTAAATTTTAATGAAGTCCAATCACTCAATCTGTTCTTTCCTAGGTGCCTTCGGTGCGGTCTCTAAAAACTCATCACCAGACTCAAAGTCACCTGGGTTCCCTCTGATGTTAAATTCTAGACCCTGTGTTTTATATTTAGGTCTGTGATCTATGTCGAGGTAACTTTTATGAAAAGGTTGAGATCTGTGTCTAGATTTTTGGCCCAGAATGTGGCCTATCTTGGCGAATGTTCTGTGCGAGCTTGGGAAGAATCTGTGTTCTGCTGCTGTTGGATGAAGTAGCCTACAGATGTCAGATTCAGTTGATTGATGGTATCACTCAGTTCAACCCTGTCATTGCTGAATTTCTGAATTTCTGCCTGCTGGATCTGTCAATTACTGAGAGCAGACACTCAAAATCTCCAGCATTAATGGTGGACTCATCTATTCCTCCTGGCAGTTGTATCAGTCTTTGCCTTATGTATTTTGACACACTGTTGTCAGGTGCATATACATTAAGGATTGCTGTGTCTTCTTGGAGATTTATTCCCTCTATTATTGCATAATGTTGGACAGGAAACTGGATGTCTTGGCTGTGGCTTTTCATAAATGCCCTTTATCATACTGAGAAATTTTCCTTCTACTTCTAATTTTATAAGAGTTTTTTTTTTTTATCATGAACAGTTATGAGATTTTGTCAGACACCTTTCGTGTGTCAACTGAGATGTGCAGGTAGTGTTAATTAATTTTCTTAAACTGAACCACTTTTACATTCCTGGAATAAATCCCACCTGATGACAAGTCTAAACCTTTTAATACACTGTTGGATTAAGTTTGCTGGTATTCTGTGGAAAATTTTAGCATCTACATTGATAAGGGATATGGTTTGTGATTTTCTCTTCTATGACCATTTTTATCGGGCTCAGCTACCACGGTAATGCTGGCCTCAAGGAATGTGTTAGGAATTGTTTCCTCCACTTCTATTTTTTTGGAAGGGTCTGTGGATTTGTGTTAATTCATCTTTACCTGTTTGGTGGAATTCACCAGTGAACGTATCTGATTCTGGATATTTCTTTCCAAGGATTTATTTTTTTATCATTATAGATTCGATCTCTTATTATAAATCTGTTGAGATTTTTTATCTTGTCTTCAGTCAGTTTAGGTCATTTTCATTGTTATATAAATTTGTCCATGTCATCCGGGTTAACTAGTTTATTGGTGTACAATTGTTCATAGTATTGTCTTAAATCCTTTTTATTTGTGTGGTCTGTAGTAATGTCCCCATTTTCCTTTCCAATTTTAGTTGTTTATGTGTTCTCTTTTTTTTTTCTTTGTCAGTGTCATTCAAGGTTTGCCAATATTTTGATCTTTTCAATCAACTGACTTCAGTTTTGTTGATACTCTATTTTTTGAATTTAATTTAATGATCTCTTTTTTACTCTGTGTTAATTCTGTCTGATAGCTTTCTTCTGATTCTTTGACCCATTGTCAAATTTCCAGTTTTCCTCCTGTTATTAATGTCACTGTGGCTAAAATGTTACTTTGACAAAAATTAGCTGGGTGTGGTGGTGGGTGCCTGTAATCCCAGCTACTCAGGAGGCTGAGGCAGGAGAATTGCCTGAACCCAGAAGGTAGAGGTTGCAGCGAGCCGAGAATGCACTACTGCACTCCAGCCTGGGTGACAGAGTGAGACTCCATCTCAAAAAACAAAAAACAAAAAACAAAAAAAAACCCAACTTTTTATGATTTTAGTCTTTTACAATTTATTGAGACCTGTCTTTTGGCCTAACATGTGGCCTACTGTGGAGAATGTTTCATGTACACTTGAGAAGAATGTGTATTTCCACTGTTGTCAGGTGGATGCTTCTGTACGTGTCCGTCCAAACCCCATGTTTATTAATCTTCTGTGTAGACGTCCTGCTTACTATTGAAAGTGGTTCATTCCAGCCTCCAGCTATGATTAGAGCTACCCCTTACTTTCTCCAATTCCATCAATGGTTGCTTCACATATTTTGGGACTCTGTTTTTGATTTTGGTACATATATATTTAAAATCATTGTATCTCCTTGTTGAATTGACCCTTCTGTCAATATATAAATAGCCTCTGTCCTTCATTTTCTTAATTATTGTCTTTTTTGTGGATTTTTTTGGAGTTAACTGTTTTGATTTCCCTTTTATTTCCTGTTGCGTATATATTTTAAAATACTTTCTTTGAAGATAAATTTATAATATTAGGATTAAACATAGAACCCTAGATTTATAACAGCTCCCTTCCTCCCTTGCTGTCGCAGGTTTCATCTTTTTTTTTTTTTTTTTTTGAGATGGAGACTTGCCCTGTAGCCCAGGCTGGTATACAGTGGTTCAAATGATTCTCCTGCCTCAGCCTCCCAAGTAGCTGGGATTACAGGCAACCAACACCACACCTGGCTAATTTTTGTGTTTTTAGTAAAGATGGGTTTTCACCATGTTGGCTAGGCTGGTCTTGAACTCCTGACCTCAAGAAATCTGCCCGCCTTGGCCTCCCAAAGTGCTGGGATTACAGGCGTCAGCCACGGCGCCCGGCCTGTCACAGGTTTCACCTTTACACATTGAGTGCACGGTAACATAGACGTACACTTATCTTTTATGCATTCATCTTTTAATTTCTGTAGCAACAAAGGTGGAGTTACAAACCAAATACATAATCTTGTTGGTTTTCCTGGTCGTCCCTGTATTCACCATCGCTGAAGACCTTTCACTTCATATAGCTTTGAGCTAATGCCGCTGTCCTTTTATGTCAATCTGCAAGGTTCCCTTTCGCATTCTTGTAGAGCAAGTCTCAAGTTCCGTTTATCTGGGAATGTCTTACTTCCTCCTTCATTGTGAAGGATAGTTTTACTGACTATAAACTTCTTAAAATTTTTTTTTCTTTAGGAACTTTATCATCCCATTCTCTTTTGTCTTCCATGGTTTCTAGAGAAATCAAGAGATAAGCTTTTTCTGGAAAATAAATAATCATCCCTTGTGTGTGATGAGTCACTTCTCTTCTGCTGCTTTTGGGATTTTCTCTTTATCCCTCACTGGTTTGATTATAACATGTCTTTTGCAAATCTCTTCATGTTTATCTGACTTGAAGTTCATTATGCTTCTTGGATTTGTATATTCACATCTTTCCTCAAATTTTGGATGTTTTTGGCTTTTATTTCTCCAAATATTCTTTCTTTTCATTTCGTTCTCTTTTCCCTTTTCGGAGACTCTTGTAATGTGTAGGCTGATCAGCCCGATGATGTTCCACAGACCCTCAAGTTTCGGCTCCCTGTTCTTCCTTTTCTTTCTGCTCCTCAGGCTCCACAATGTCATCTGTACCATATTTAACTGTAGACACTTTCCTCTACCTGCTCAAATCTGCTGCTGAACCTCTAGAGTAAATTTTTCATTTATTTTTCTCCAGAATGTCTGCTGTTTTCTTTAAAAAAAAATAATTTGGATCTCTTTAATTTTCTTCATACATTGTTTCCCAGTGTTCTTTAGTTTTGGGGCATATTTAAGAAAATTTTAAAAAATATTATTTAGGGCCAGGCACGGTGGCTCATGCCTGTAATCCCAGCACTTGGGGAGGCTGAGGCGGGCAGATCATCCGAGGTCGGGAGTTCAAGACCAGCCTGACCAACATGGGGAAACCTAATTTCTATTAAAAATGCAAAATTAGCCTGTCATGGTAGCGGGCACCTGTAGTCCCAACTAGTCAGGAGGCTGAGGCAGGAGAATCACTTGAACCCAGGAGGTTGAGGTTGCAGTGAGCTGAGATCACACCACTGCACTCCAGCCTGGGCAACAAGAGTGAAACTACGTCTCAAAACAAAACAAAACAAAAAAAGATTTCTTTTGTTGTCCTGAATGGACCATACTTTCCTGTTTTTTATATGTCTTTTAGTCATTTTGTTGAAAACTGGACACTTGGATATTAGAAGGGGCTGACTCTGGAAACCCTTCTTCTGGTTTGGCTGTTTTTGATTGTTGAAGGCTGGTGTAGTCTGTTTAGTGACTTTCCAAACTATTTTTTGAAAACACTGTATTATTTGCCGTGTGCAGTCACTGGAGTCTCTGTTTCTTAAGGTTGTTTCAAGCTAGTATGTTGACAGATATCTCATTAAATGCCAAGAGCTACAAACGAAAAAGACAAAAACACCTTTCCCATTCTCTGCAGGCGTTCTGTCCTGAGGCACTTCTTCCACACGTACCCTGGCTTGCAACGAGCCCAGGGACCACTTGAGGTGAAAGCTGCAGGTCTTCCTAGGCCTTTTCTGAACACGCACATTGACCTGGTGTATGCACAGCTTTGTGCGTTCCCCCATGTACATGGGTTCTTTTTGGAAAAACGGTGGTAAAATACTCATCTTAACCATTTCGTGTGTGTAGTTCTGTGGTGTGTTAAGGACATTCACACCATTGTGCCATTGTCTCCAAAATGCGTCCTTTTCCTCATGTGAAACTCTGTACCCATTTCTAACTACCTAGTTCTCCTTCCCTCCAGCGCCCAGTCCCCGGCAGCCTCCTTTCTACTTTCTGTCTTTATGAATTCGACTGCTTTCGTACCTCATGTGAGGGGAATCACAGTCACTCTCCTTTTGTGACGGGCGAATTTCATTTTGTGGAATGTCTTCAGGGTTCATCTATATTGTGCCATGTGTCAGCATCTCATTTCTTTTTAAGGCTAAATGTTCTTCTTTCACCCGTCTAGGCCCCATTTTGCTTATACATCCATTTACGTGTCTATTGCACACGTGGGCTGCTTCCATCTTTGGCTACTGTAACTAATACTGCTTGAGCATGAGTATACAATTATCTGAGCCCTGCTTCCACTTCTTTTGGGTGTATGGCCAGAAGTGAAATTTCTGGGGCATAGGAAAATTCCATGTTTATTTTTTGAAGACTCACCATATCATTTTCCATGATGGGAACATCTTTCTATATTCTCACCAAAAATGCACAAGGTTTCTAACTTCTCCACATCCTTGCCAACACCTGTTCTTTTCTTTTCATTGTTGTTGTTTTACAATGACCACTCTAATGTGTGTTGGCATTTCCTTGTGGTTTAGCTTTGTATTCCCTTAATAATTAATGATGTTGCTGTGCTTATTGGTCATTTGTGAATCTTCTTGGAGAAATATCCAAGTCCTTTGCCCATTTTTGAATCAGATTATTTTGCTGTTGTAGTTATTTAAATAGTGTAGGTATCAGTCCATTTTCAGATTGATATATGATTTGAATTTTGATATATGATATCTACTCCCATTCCATCCCTTTCATTCAGCTGAAAGTGTCCCTTAATGCACACAAGCTTTAATTCTGATGAAGTCTAAATTATGTATCTATTCTTTTGTTGCTTGTACTTTTGGTATCCAAGATCACTGTCAAGTCCAATGTCATAAAGCTTATCCTCTCTGTTTTCTTCTGAGAGTCTTACAGGTTTAGCTCTTATGTTTAGGTCTTTTATCTGTTGAGTATTGTTTATATGTGGTATAAGGTATGAGTTCAGCTTCATTATTTATATGTTGATATCCAGTTTCTCTAACATAAATTATTGAAAACACTGTTCCTTCTCCATTGAATGGTCTTGGCACCCTTATCAGAAATCATTTGACAATATACACCAGGGTTTATTTCTGGACTCTCTATTCTGTTCCATTAGTCTAGATGTCTGTGATTATGCCAGCACTTAACCACACTATTTTGCTTATCATAGCTCTGTAGTAAGTTTTGAAATCAGGAAGTGTGAGACTCCAACTTAGTTCTTATTTTTCAAGATTGTTTTGAGTATTTGGGGTCCCTTGTAATTCCATATAAATTTTAGGGTGGATTTTTCTATTTCTCAAAAACCCACCATTAGTAGTTCTGACATCTTAACAACAGTAAGCCTTTCAATCCATGAACACAGATGTCTTTCCGTTCATTAGTGTCTTTAATGTCTTATAACAACATTTTATAGTTTTCAGTGTACAGCCTCTCTCCTCCTTGGTTAAGCTTATTTCTAAGAATTTTGGGTTTTTTTGACACGATTATAAATGCAATTATTTACTTCCTTTTTAAATTGTTCATTCTGATAGTATTTGGAAACACTAGTGATTTTTGTGTGTTAATTTTGTATGCAGACACTTTGCTGAATCCTTTTTTATACCCTTGTGTAGGTGTGTGTGGGTGGGGGGGAATCTTCACAGTTTTCTACATATAAGATTATGTCATCTGCAAATAACAATTTTACTTCTTTCCAATTTGGATGATTTTCTATTTTTTCTCCCTCTCTCTTTTTTTTTTTTTTTTTTGCCTAATTTCTCTGTCTAGGACTTCTACTACTATGATGAGTAGAAGTGGCATTTCCTCTTCTGAAAAAGGAATTCAGCAAAATATCTGGATATAAAATTACATGCAAAAATTAGTAGTTGTTCCCTATACTATCAGAATGAACAGTATAAAAGGAAATTAAGAAAATAATCCCATTTATAAAAGCACATAAGTAGAGGGCAGGCAAGGGCACACTTGCCTTGTTCCTGACCTCACAGGAAGAACTTTCAGTCATCTGCTGTTGAGTGGGGCGGTAGCTGTTGTTACTCAAGTGCTCTCGAATGTCCTGATTTACTGAAGGAACTCTCCCAGCTTCTGCTCCCAGGCTTTAGGTGGTACACAGTATGTTTTCAGTGTAATTTTTGTCCCAGCAGGTTGATGGAGGCCTGCAGTGTTTATGGTAGGTTTTCAGTGTAATTTTTATCCTGGCAGGTTGCCGGAGGACTGCAGTGTTTCAAGCAATGTCCTTAGTTTCTCTGGTCTGAGTTTCAATTTGGGTGAAGCACAGATGAGCACCCTGCATTCGTCCTTCAGGCCACACCCAGACAGAACAGAAAGACACACAAATGTATGAATAAAGACCTTACAGACACCCAGGGATGACTATAAGCAGTTTACATCTCATGAAAACTGTAAGGACTAATTTCTTTTAAGCCAAATGTAAAATAAACACACGAATTATCTAAACCAAACAAAATAATGCTGAAGATCATAGCTTCAGTAGCCCCACAATATCCCAGAAACAACAGCCACTGAAGACAGAGAACTGCGGAAGACCAGGCACCTCACATATGCTGTCTCTCATTTTCACAACTCCCTAACATTGAGAGATGCTACTTTCATTTTTTAAAGGAGGAAACTAAACTAAGAGTCAAGAAGTCACTTGCTTAGGTCACTGAATGGGAAGTGACAGAGCAAGCTTTTTTACCCAGGCTGCTGACTCCAAAGCCCAGGCTACTCTGGTGCTTCTGAGAGAGATTCCTGGGGTCACCTCCAGGTGGGAGGTCACCTGCCAGCCACTGCAATGGTGGAAACCATGTATGATACCTCCTGCACAGTTATTCTTAGCAGTATTTGTCCAACTCGTATCTGTCTCACTTCAGCTGGGTATATATATGATTACCTTATGCACGATATGCATGAATGACAGATGATTATATCAAATGCGATTGCAGTGAACACAGACTGTGCCTTTTCAGCTTATCCTGTGCAGTATTGAAGGGTGTTTAGCATTTATTATAATTGATGATGATCCACAAAATATGGATTTACAAGTACAGGACCCCAAAATGTTCATGTAGCAAGGGGTACTTAGCTTTCGATAAATTACCCTGCTTGCTTTTGTCGATCATCTTCCTTCATTCTCTCTCCTGCCACTTCATCAGAAGCACTTCCGCACTGTATTTATCTTTAAGGTGTAGCCATATAAATTTAATTATTATTGGATTAAGAACAATTGTACTCATCTTTTTTCTCATCCTACTTTCTTCTTTTAAAACAAAGTTGGCTTCAGACCCTCTGTTGTTAACAACATGAATCATCACTGAAGCCGTTTTCCTTACATCTCCTGCTTTTGCTGAAAGTGTTTAATGTTTGTTTTTGGTACATGTGGGTTGTCATTTTTTAAAAAATCTCATGTACAACTTTCTGCATACGTGAAACCTGGGCACTTGAAATTCCTCCTCGTTCCACCAGGTTCAAAGGCTTCCGGAGTGAGACATCTGTGTCGTCTTCATCATCAGGGCCAGCTGCACCTGCCACCCTGGGTGTGGGGCCACGGTGGCCGGTGTCCTGTGTCTCCATAGCCCATGCTCAGGGCTCCTACAGGAAGAGTCCAGCGTGGACACAAAAGCTGTCAGCTCTCAGTTCCTTTCAAGGACACGCTGGCCTGCTCCCATGGAACATTCCAGTGGCTTCACTTGCAATTTCATGAATATTAAAATGGCCTCTGCCCTGAAGAATGCAGTAAAACCCCTCTCCCCCAATTCTGCTGCTGACCTTTGCAGTCTGAGAAATGAGCTGTCTGGAAAAGGCTGAGTGGCTAAGCAGCCTTCCAGGGTCTGCACTCTCCTCACAAATGGAAAAATTACCTCTTCCCTTCTGTGAGAGTGCATCAGCGGCTCCATTTACGAGGGAGGTGAATGGCCTCAAAATCCCATCTCCCTCCACCTCCCAGGCTCTGGCCAGAGGCAGGCCATCCAGACCTGCAGGGTGCCTCCCGGGAGTCCCGCCTTCTCCTCAGCGCAGCGCAGGGCTGGACGAGCACCGGATGCAGGATTAATTTAGCCCCTATGAGAAGCAAAACCCCAGAGACCAGAGGAGAAAATGCCTGGGAGGAAGCACCCGTGCCTCCCAAGGAGACCCTGGGCCTTAGGGCTTCCTGCGGGCTCCTGAGTGTTGGGGAGTTAGGAGTGTGTTCAGAGGCATGGATGGAGGACTTTCTACTGATTCTCCGTTAAGAGAGAGTTACACCTTTAAAAATAAAATAAATAACGCATTAAACCTAATGGATAAGACCAGCGCAGCGCACAGCCCAGCAGGGTCTGCGAAGCTGAGATCTTATTTCCAGGTCGAAGCTCCTTCCCACCCATGGGAAATCTTGGAGGAAAACACTCCTCTTCTCCTTCCTTTTTTTTTTTTTTTTTTTTTTTTTGTTTTTGAGACGGAGTCTCGCTCTGTCGCCCAGGCTGGAGTGCGGTGGCGCGATCTCGGCTCTGTGCAAGCTCCGCCTCCCGGGTTCAAACGATTCTCCTGCCTCAGCCTCCCGAGTAGCTGGGACTACAGGCGCCCGCCACCACGCCCGGCTAGTTTTTTGTATTTTTAGTAGAGACGGGGTTTCACCGTGTTAGCCAGGATGGTCTTGAGCTCCTGACCTTGTGATCCACCCGCCTCGGCCTTCCAAAGTGCTGGGATTACAGGCGTGAGCCACCGCGCCCCACCCCTTCCTCCTTTTTATTCATTGGCTTTTTCCTCTTCCAAGGACGCTCGCTCCCCTGCGAGGTGGAGTCCAGGAACATCCAACCATCTGTGTCCTTACGAAGGCCCATCCTCACAGCCTGCAGCCGACAGCTAAGGAATGACTCCTGCGGCGATGGAATCTCCAAGGACGTGCATGTTTTACTGAATCTACCAAAAGCACGGCAGAAGGAGGCGAGTTACAGCCAGACGTTTTGGAAAGTACCTAAGCGCTGTGAACAGCAGGAAAGAATCGACTCCAGCGGCGCCGTCAGGCGTGGGCCTCCTGGGGCGAGGGGAAGAGCCAAGCTCTGGGCAAGGTCGCTCCATGGTCCCCAGGCGGGGCAAGAGCCCTTCCCTTCGACCTCACTGCCCGTTACCCGTAACTGGGGTCATATCACAATTCTCATAGGACGATCTGATGACTAAATAGAGGACTCACGTAAAATGCTGAGTCCAGTCCCGGGTATGGAGCAGGGCTCGGGAACCTACAGAAAATACCGAGTCCGGTCCCAGGTATGGAGCAGAGCTCGGGAACTCACATAAAATACTGAGTCCAGTCCCGGGTATGGAGCAGAGCTCGAGAATTCACAGAAACTTCCGAGTCCAGTCCCAGGTATGAAGCAGAGCTCCGGAACTCACAGAAAATTCCGAGTCCGGTCCCAGGTGTGGAGCAGAGCTCGGGAACTCACAGAAAATGCTGAGTCCGGTCCCAGGTATGGAGCAGAGCTCGGGAACTCACAGAAAATTCCGAGTCCGGTCCCAGGTGTGGAGCAGAGCTCGGGAACTCACAGAAAATTCCGAGTCCGGTCCCAGGTGTGGAGCAGAGCTCGGGAACTCACAGAAAATGCTGAGTCCGGTCCCAGGTATGGAGCAGAGCTCGGGAACTCACAGAAAATTCCGAGTCCGGTCCCAGGTATGGAGCAGAGCTCGGGAACTCACAGAAAATGCCGAGTCCCGTCCCAGGTATGGAGCAAGGCTCAGGAACTTATAGAGCTTCTGCTTCCCTTTCCCTTCCCAGCTACAGGCACCCTTTTCCCCCAGCACACACAGGTTGGAAAAGAGTTTAAGAACAGAATGCCTAGTTGTTAGTAATTCATCACGACACCTGACTTAATTACCAAAGATTATTTTAATGGCCGTGCATACTACTCTCCTAGAACTTCTGTCCTTCCTCCCCCCTCCCTGGGACCTTGGCAGAACCCTTGCGGCAAATGTCGTGTTGTGTTGAGGGGGCCTCCCGCGCTGCCTCTGCTGTGGTCACAGCCCTTCCTGGAGGCATGAGGAAATGGAGCCGGCCGTGGCTCTGCTGCCGTGGGAAGGGGAGGGGTGCTGTGGCGAGAACAAGCCCAGAGCCTCCTTCAAACATCAGAGGCCTCCTGACATCCTCTGCAGGACTCATCCCAACCTGGAATCATCTCCAACTTGTTTATTTGTAAAACGTGAAGCTTATGTTGGGCCCTTCCTTATCCTCTACCCTCTCCCAGAGTCCATCAGGCAGGGACGCCCATGCACAGGCAGGATCGGGACCATCAAGATTGTGACAGCAAGAAAAAGAGTGAAAGTGTTCGTGTCACACACTTGATGTCCAGCATGAACCTCAGACCTATCTTGAGCTGATCATCTTCAAAAAAAACTTCATTAAGAAAAAAAAAAAGTGGAGGTTGGAGAGTGTTCTAAATCTCAAAGCCCATCAGTTGCTGTTGAGAGCAGAACTTGCAGCAGAGATGAGCTTTTCCATGCCTCCTAGGCCCCGGAGCTCGAGCATGATGCCCAGGCAGAGGCCTCTCATGGAGGAGACAGCAGCTTCCATGGAAGGGTGGGACGTGGTGCTGTCAGGACAGGGTCCTGCAGGAGGGCTCAGGTCCAGCTCCCACGTCAGGTATCGATGGGAGAAGGACCTCAAACTCAGAGGATCCACAGCACTGGCGGAGCCAGAAGGACTTGGCTAACCATGGGACACAGCCACGCTGCCTATGAGAAATGGCATGGCCTCTTCCATGGCCAGAGGGCGGGGGGCAGACAGTTCTGTTACTCAGCTGCAGAGGCCGCACAGCCAGGAGCTGGAAGCCACGTGGGGCCAGACAGGGACGCGTTCCGCATGTGAGGGTGGTGAGCCCCACCAGATGAGCACAGAGTGGACACCGAGCCACAGGGAGGACGCTGAGCTCGGTTCATGCAGCAGGCTGTAGGGTTTATCTACGCGGCCTCACTGGCTGGAAATACTTGCTTAGATAATAAGACAAGGATGAAATCATACATGGAAAATGAACAGAACTGCAACATGCCACACACACCGTGGTTTTAGGGGCCGCTCTCGCTGTTCCTGTGCTGTGTCCCTGGATGTGAGGCCCGTCCTGTTCATGGTGCAGTCTCAGAAAACACGAGGGATGCCACCATCCCCGTCTCCTAGGCCGACGTCCAGGAAGCTGCAGCTTAGATGTCAAGGAGGTGAACCTCAAAGCTGGACTCTGGGTTCTCACCAAAAACTGGCCCCCTCGCCTCCAACTCCGATTTGTGCTGGGTGCTGACCCCACACACGACAGGGTGTGCTTCGCGCCGGGACTGAACAGGGACAGGAGGGACGGTCAGTACTTGACAAGTACGAAGCATGGCTCTACGCCCCCAGGTGCTTCACAGAGGCAAGATGGCATTCACCTCCTGTTATGCATCTGGGGAGGGCAGAGCCGTGTTTCAGCCGTGCAAACGCCAGTGTAGGGAGGGAAAACGCATCTGGTAAAATCCAGTCCAGGGCCCCTTTCCTACCCTTCCCCTCAGTCCCCTGGAGGGTCCAAGTACCCACTCCAGGGGCCAGCCCACGTGTATGTGTATGTATATATATATGTGAGTGCATCTACACATTGTACACATATGCACACTTTGCACACAGACACACACGTATAACGGTGCTATTGGCTTTGAACATTGCTAGGGGCTGAATTTTGTTTCCCTGACAAATCGATATGCTGAACCCAATGCCCAGTGTGGCTGTGTTTGAAGTGAGGATGTAATGAAGGTAAACTGAGGTAATGAGAGGGGGACACTGATCTGAATGGATCAGGGTCTTTCAGGAAGAGACACCAGCCTGTCTCCCTGAGGACACAGTGAGCAGGTGGCCAGGAAGAGGCCCTCCCCAGGAGCCAGGTCTGCCCACGCCTTGATCAGCCTCCAGAACGGTGAGAAAATTAATTTATGTTGCTTAAGCCGCTTAGTCTATGGTGTTTTGTTGTGGGAGTTCCAGCAGATTAAGACAAAGTCATTTGGGTTGATTTTCAAATTTTACTTACATAAGAAAGTTGCTTCAGATCCATTCTTGACCTCCTTTAAAAGTGCAGTCCAGGGGGGATTGTAGATGATAATAATTACGATATCATTTGGTTTTATTCTGAGGAGCTCACAGTACTTTAAAAAAATAATTTAAAAATATTAGATAGGGAATAGCATTATTGCTTCTAATTTGCAGCCAACATCAGAAGACAAGCTTTTAAAATGAATATCCCAGCAGGAACGAATCTGCTAGTTACTGAGCCAAAGGTGCGAGTGAATTCTGAAAACCGAGTTGCAGTTGGCATGGACCGTTCCTCCCTATGCGTTTATGCTCACCTCATGCAACCTGGCATTCCTAAGATTCCTAAGATTATCACAAAGAGTATTATTAAACATCATCACAATTTTATGGAAAAACATTAGATGAGATCCACATGTGAAAGAAGGGCCATGAGAATCTGTTTCCAGATTTCACACTTGTTTATTCCCTTGTATGGTGGAGACACCACTGGAAAATCCAGGGAGGCCAGACAGACCATCCATGCGGCACCCTGGGTGGCCTCGGGTGGGGGCCTCTGTGGACGGTCAGGACTGGCATCTATGGCGGAGCCCAGAGCTGTGCCGCCCTGCACAGTACCCACCACCACTCTGAGCCCCTGAAATGCCATCTTGCATTTGGTCAAAATCATACTTAATATTGCCTGCTTCTTTGTACCATACACATTTAGATGTCAGTAATCCAAATTAAAAGTTACCCACAAGGCTCACATTCTCTGCTGGCAGCACTGGTCTAGACGGATGGCAGTAACAGCCTTTGCCCACCTTTGCTCCCTTGGGCCCCTTTGGGTCATTCAGCACGAGCCACTGAGACAGACGTGAATGCCGCAGCTCGACCCTGGCCCTGGGAAGAGGTTCTCCCCCCGGGTTCTCCCCCCGTTCCTGCCTCAGGCCTGTGTTATTGCCCATGGGAGTTCGCTGGGACATTCGAATTACCAGCACCTGTTCATGAGCTGCCACGGCCAGCGTTATATTGCCTCTCAAGACGATCTTTGCAAATAGAAGTCTTTAGTTTAAAGTTTTTATAAGGGATTGTCTTGCCCTTTTGACATTCTAGTTCCCCTCTGGCATGCATGCATGCTTGTCCTGGGGCCCTCGGCATCTACCATGGCCGAGGTGCCTGCTGAGCCGTCCCACACGCTCAGCGCCTGCCATGCTTCTGCAGGACATGTGGACGGGCAGGACTGTGGCCGAGGTACCTACTGAGCCGTCCCCCACGCTCAGCGACTGCCACTCTTCTGCAGGGTACGCTGCCTCTCAGCACTCTCCGGGGCCAGAGGAGCACACTCAGCTCCCTCCTGTGTGTCCCCATGAAACCGTATTTATACCCCAGTACAGAACGTGTCACACTGTGATCCAGGGCTTCCTGGTGTCTCCACTGAGGGACGGCGACAGTGCCAGGTGCGGGGCCATCATGTGGAAGGACGCGGCCTCTGTAGGCTGCAGGACGACAGACCAGGAAGCGGACGCATTTGGTGTATGGGGGGTTTAGATAACTTCAATTATATGACTTTTACTTGATCACTTATAAAGATGCTGAAATAAGATCACATCCTGAATCCTCCCTATCTCGCGTGGTGTCCGTTCATGCACGCCACATTTCTCCGTTCATGCATGCCACGTTTCTCCTCCCTGTCTCACGTGGTGTCTGTTGACGCCTGCCACGTTTCTCCTCCCTGTCTCACGTGGTGTCTGTTGACGCCTGCCACGTTTCTCCTCCCTGTCTCACGTGTCTGTTCACGCCTGCCACGTTTCTCCTCCCTGTCTCACGTGGTGTCTGTTGACGCCTGCCACGTTTCTCCTCCCTGTCTCACGTGGTGTCTGTTCACGCCTGCCACGTTTCTCCTCCCTGTCTCACGTGGTGTCTGTTCATGCCTGCCACGTTTCTCCTCCCTGTCTCACGTGGTGTCTGTTCATGCCTGCCACGTTTCTCCTCCCTGTCTCACGTGGTGTCTGTTCACGCCTGCCACGTTTCTCCTCCCTGTCTCACGTGGTGTCTGTTCACGCCTGCCACGTTTCTCCTCCGTCTCACATGGTGTCTGTTCACGCCTGCCACGTTTCTCCTCCCTGTCTCACGTGGTGTCTGTTCACGCCTGCCACGTTTCTCCTCCCTGTCTCACGTGGTGTCTGTTCACGCCTGCCACGTTTCTCCTCCCTGTCTCACGTGGTGTCTGTTCATGCCTGCCACGTTTCTCCTCCCTGTCTCACGTGGTGTCTGTTCATGCCTGCCACGTTTCTCCTCCCTGTCTCACGTGGTGTCTGTTCATGCCTGCCACGTTTCTCCTCCCTGTCTCGTGTAGTGTCTGTTCACGCATGCCACCTTTCTCCTCCCTGTCTCGCGTGGTGTCTGTTCGCGCATGCCACGTTTCTCACCACATGAAATACATGATTTAAAGCTCTCACTGAAGCTCTGGTTCTTAGAGAGATGGCCAACAACCTCTAGACTCTAGAACATTCTCATCCTAAACAGCAGGGGAGACATGTTTTTCTGACGTACGTTTACATGTGTTAAGATTTGTTTGTGGATACAAATGCATGCCTTTCACAGGTGACTGGGGATAACTCACTACCTGGAGGTCCATGTCATTCTCATCGCTGTGATTGCATTCTTGCCGCATTGCTGTAAAAACGTTTCCTCTCCCCAACTTCACGAAAACCACGCAGCAAAGAGGGAGAAGAGGAACAGCGCTTGCCGGGAACCTGCTCTGTGCTGGGAACCTGCTCTGTGCCAGGCACAATCTGAGGTATTTCCGGCTCCTTGAGTTCCTTCCTTAGCACAGGCCCTGAGGTCTCCAGTTCCCATTATCCGGGATGCTCAACTCCACCTTGGGATTGAATGACCTCCACCCCACCCCAGTGCCACACAGCCTACACAGACTCAGGATTCCAGCCCGGCCTTTCTGAGCCCCGCATGAAACATCCCCTCCGCAGCACTGTCCTGTGTGGTTCGGGGGCCGCTCCGGTGCGGCTGTGCACCCACCACACCATCTGCACATCAGTGGCACGTTCAGGGACTCACTTACCACGTTTCCCGCAAGCGAACCCAAAGAGCCTTTGACGCTTTAAGTGCCTCCTTTGTAAAGTGGGGAGGAAAGGGCTGTGTTCTCTGTTCCCAGGATTTGCCAAAATTCCACGTCCAGTAAGACTTTGCACAGATCATGAAAACAGCTTTTATGCTACCCCAGAAAAATATTTATTCATATAGAATCCCAAAAAGAATTTAATAAAACGCACACTCTGCAAGATAGGCAGCGACAAAGATCAGCACGAGCACCAAGGCTCTGCTTCCTGGAGACACACATACAATATGAGGGCTAAGAAATCTCCAATGATAACACCTCCCTTGGATCTGGATAATCATGACATATTTTGTTTTTGGAAGTTACAAGGCACATGCAGCCAGCGTGCCAGGGAGATTAAAGGAACGCTGAAAGTCTCTTTAAGGCACTCGGAATTTATTTATAAAGTTATAATTGAGGTTCTAGAAAAGAACCCAAGATGGAACAAGGGTCATATCTATTCAACAAGAGTGCTGAATTTATGTCCTTGATTTCTAACCTCTCGGTCATCAAGGGTCTCAGCCCACCTGCGCCACGAAAGGGAGTCAGAAACCCGGGGGCCGCATTTCATCCACCCCAACTCCACCCTGCAAAGCACCCTTCTGAAAATCAACACTCGGGAAAGGTTTACAGGCATCAGGCGAACAGCAG
Organism: Homo sapiens; assembly: GCF_000001405.40. Taxonomy (NCBI): domain Eukaryota; kingdom Metazoa; phylum Chordata; class Mammalia; order Primates; family Hominidae; genus Homo; species Homo sapiens. Next base: position 15,282 of record NT_187565.1, on the reverse strand, counting down.
GTAAAGCCAAAATAAAAGGATTGTTGGCAGACACACTTCCGGGGATTTCATTAACGCGCTCGGTGACCTTCAAATCCGAGTTGCACTCCTCCGCATCCGGCTGTCTCCTGGCAAAACCAGGATAATAACTCTCACGTAGCCTGCAGGCATGTTGTGACGCTTCATTAATTAAGGCTCCTGAAATCGTTTCCAATTCCCAGGCAGGTGCCATGAGAAGGTGTGTAAATGATGGCTTCTGCTGTGAGCAAAACAGAACATCTCTTCCCACTTCCCTGTCACGAGGGGACGATGGCTGGGACACACCCCACAGCTCCCCTGCCCGGCGTCACCTGCCCTTGGGCCCACAGAGAGACTGGGGCCCGGAGTGGGTTTTCTTCTATTTGTTTTTAAAGGATCCAAATTGGCTTTTACGAAACACTTCAAAGCCCTTTGGGATTTATAGGCATAATCCTACCTTGACACATGTTCCCCTGCCTTTGTGGAGAGCTGTTTCCAGGAGCGGGGGCTGACCAGAGCCCCTTCCACTTCGGTGGGGCAGGATGGCTGGGGTGCTCCAGCAGATCACGGTGGACAGAGAGTGTGCTTCCCGCTGACGTGGCTGGGGGCCCACAGCCTTTCCTGGCTTCCCTCCCCTCCTGGCGGCCGGAAGAAGCTTCCCAGGGAGAACTCCAGAGCCACCAAGGAGGGCAGAGCCTGCAGCTGCCACGCTGGGACTCCGGGCCCACGGTCACCAGGAAGCTCGGTTTTTAAGGCTCTGTCATCTTCAATATGCAAATGTGCTGTGTGTATCTATCCCATGGAAAGAAAGAGACGGCATGGAGGATTCGGGGTTTTCAGGTTCCTGCTTTCAGTCTGGTTGGCACTCACTCTTGCCGCCATGTCTGTCTGCTGCAAGGGAGGCCAGAACACGCAGACACCCAAGGAGACGAGTTTGAGAACAGCCCACAGTCCCCACTGCAACATGAGCCCGTGGTAGTAGATTTCCTGTTTGCTGTTTGCCTTTTAAAATTATTTCCTTTCCTTCTGCTCAGCGATATCACCCTTCTATTAACAATGATTATATGGCTCCTTTTTTCCTCAAGTGAAGTTTAAATATCTTGTAAAATCTTAATTTATATCATATCCAATATACAAGTCATCAACTGCTACATAACAAAATTAGTAACTTAAAAAAAAAAGTTTTGTTTTTTTTTGTTTTGAGACAAGATCTTGCTCTGTCGCCCAGGCTGGAATGCAACAGCACAATCTCAGCTCACTGCAACCTGCACCTCCGAGGCTCAAGCAATCCTACTGTCTCAGCCTCCCAAAGTGCCAGGATTACACGTGTGCACCACCACACCCAGCCAAAATAAGCTTTTATAATCTAACTCTCTCACACATACAACATTATTTCAATGGGATGGCTTTATATTTTAAACATTTGGTAACAGATAATAAAAAGCCTATGTACTCTTAATTTTAAAATTCCAATTCGACATTGACCCAGTGATGCCACGACACAGGTGGGACGCCACACCATCCTCGCTGTAAAGAGCTCACAAAATCGCAGGAGAGAAATGCACCTCCATCACCAATCACACTTAGAACGTGACGGTGAGAATGTGTTTCAACACATGGTCTCAGTGACTCATCAGAAAAATGGGGAAAATAATGCCTCAAACAGGAGACACCAAAACAACCTCACCAGTCACTCGTGGACGACGACGGAGAGTGCCAATCACAATCTGGCTTCTCCGAGGTTCTAATGTGAACATGGCATTTTTTCCCTTAATAAGACAATGTTTACCAGCCCAAGTATAATGTGATCAAGACAATTAAATTCTTGTGAAAGGCCTGTAACCTGAATGACTGGCAAGGGGAGAGGTGGGAGGGGATGTGTGGGCCCTGTGGGACCCTGAGGGAAGACCAGCTCCTCCATACAGTTTCGGGAGGTGATGTGTCTGCCCTGAGGGACCACCTGCTCCTCCACATAGTTTTGTTGGAATTCCAGGAAGCGAGGGCGAGTCCATTCCCCTCTGCCCGGCAGGGAGCCCTGGTGGCAGCGAGCCACCTTCACGTGTGGGCTCCGAGACCCCGGGAAAGGCTGCAACCTTTCTTTCCAATACGGTGCAAGGTATCCGCAGCCTGATACTTGTTTTGCATGAAAATCAATCAGCTTTAGGACCTCAGCACATCTGTTTCTGAAGACAATAAACTATTTTTTAAATATATTGCTCAATAAGAATAACAGATAGAAAGAAATACTAACAATATCCAATAAAAAGAAAATGTTTAATAAGTGAAGAAGGAGACTCTGGGATTCACTTCGCCCCAGCTCCGAAATGTTAATTATCGTTTGTTTGTATTATAAAGAATGGGGAAGGGCTCAGGCTGGGCACTGTTCCTCTGACTTCTGAGAAATTCTAGAGACAGCAGGCATGATAATTTTTTTTTTCTGTTCAAATTGGAGGTTAATGGCTGAGGCTGTGACAAATAAATTTTAGCACAGAAGGAAATGAAGAAATACGTAGGTTATTTCACGAAAAATTCCAGGCCCAAAGGAAGATAATGGGAAAATCTCCTGTGCCATTAATCTCACTGAGATGAGCTGCACTGGAGCCCAGAAAAGGGAGGCACAGGGAAGGAGCCATGGCTCAGCTGTCCGGGAGCCCAGCCTGCTGCTGCCAGGGAAGGAGCCATGGCTCAGCCGTCCGGGAGCCCAGAAAAGGGAGGCACAGGGAAGGAGCCATGGCTCAGCCGTCCGGGAGCCCAGCCTGCTGCTGCCTGGCTGGGGGCCATGCTCCACTCCTGAGTCCCCCTGCACTGCACCAGGAGAGGGAGAGGGCATGTGGGCCCATGTGTGTGTGTGAGAGGGAGACAGAGACAAAAAGACAAAGAGATGGAAAGAGGAAGACAGAGACAGAGAGAGAGGGGGAGACAGGGAGGGATTTTCAGACACACAAGGATTGAAAATGCAGACCCTGCTCATGAGTACCCCTTTCTCCCCCACTTGTGGGTCAGGTTGACTTACTCCAGCTGCTTTGGACTCAAAGGCCTGGATAAGCACCTGTCTTAGGCATGTGGAAAAAAGAGACACGAGGAACAGCCGTTGTGCTCTGGGGGAGACGGACACGCCCAGGGTCCTAATGCAGGGAGGACACGTGCTTAGGAGCACTCAGAGGGGACCCTGACCCACGCACGGGGTGGGCACTGTTGCTGGAGGAGGCAGCGTAGGCTTGGGATGTGTGGATGAGCAGGAGTGAAATGAAAGACCTTGGGAAGGCGTTCCGAGAAGAGGGGTGACATGAGTGGAAAGGGGAGGCTCGAGACAGCAACACAATGTGACCAGCTCCAAATAATTCCTGGGTCAGAAGAAAAGTAAAGCCCCATCCACGCGACCTTTCTCAGTCTACAAAGCGTCCGAGCGACGGAGGCCGTTACATTGGGTAACAGAATATGTGTTGTCTTTTTGCTCAACCTACTTTCAAAAATATTTCAGGGAGAATTTAAAATAAAATTATACCACATATATACAGAAGTTATTAACAAAGGTATAAAATGAACAGATCAAAATTTTTTAGAGAAAGGAAAGAGATGAGCTGTTTCTTCACCTGAGAAGTCAAGTTGATCACACACACTTCTGAGCTGCCCAAAGACAGCGCACTGTCCCATCCTCCAACTGGAGGCAGCTCTCCCTGACTGGCAGGATGAGCTGTTTCCAGGTGGCTGATGGGACTCTGACATGATCCACAGGATGTCAGACCACATGCTAGGTCCACCTCTCCTCCTGTCCTTCCACATTCCTTGGCCAGAAAGAGCCAGGGCAGAGGGAACCCAATACCTTTGTTGTTTTTGAGTACAGGTGACAGAGCTCACTTTCCAGCCAACAGAGGAGGGGGTGCATGAGCAAAGCATGCTTCCCCCCAAAGCCAGCGATTCTGGAGGGTGTCCAGGGTTTTTGCTGTTTTTAATAACACAGGCTTAGCTGACACACCACAATTCATCTGTCTTCAGAGTTGGAACATTCTACTGAATCTTCCCTATTGATGTCACATCTCTAAACATTTCAACCCCTAGCATTTGCTTTCCACATCTTTATTGAAAGCCTCTCATGTCCCTACATCTTTCAGGCCCCTGGATTGTGTGATTAAGAGTCTTTTGAGAGTGAACATTTTGTAATAGTCAAAAGTTAGTCAAGGGCAAGACTGGAGAGAAGGCTGGGTGATTAGACTAAGCCATATGGCCTGCTGAGCAGTACAAAGTGTGGCTGGAGGGCAGTGAGATGGATTTGCTCGTATGATGAAAACTGGCCCCCGGGGGCTCAATGTTGGGTGTGGTGTTGGGGTCCAAAGCACACTGGAACACCCAACTTTGAGCAGGATGAGCTCTGCTGGGACATCCACTTATAGAATCTTAGATTTTAAACTGGAAGATATTTGGAGATCCCTTAGCCTGATCCCGTAATTTTAAAGATAGGAGATATGCTAAGAGTAGGCAGGGGCTTCCCCAGAATCACCCCGGATTAGGAATGGCAGGGCTTCGAATATACCACAAAACCCTCTGTGTCATGGGCTTCTCCTCCACACGGGAAATATGGCACTGAAGGGAGCCATACGTCTGCCTTTCATTCTTGCCTCGCCATGCAAAATTTTCCCTTTGACCAGTAATTCACTCTCACATGTAGAAATTGTGACTTTAGAGAGTAATGCCCATGATAGAAAAATAGCTACTCCTGCTTGCTTCTGGTTTCCATTTTCACACTTTTCCCATCCCTTTATCTTGAGTCCATGAGAATCCTTACATGTTAGCAGAGTTCTCTTGAAGACAGCAGATGTTTGGTTTGTGATTTTCCATCCATTCTGTGAATCTGTAACTTTTAACTGGAGCAGTTACACCATTTATGTTCAACATTAATATTGAGACGTGAGGTCCATTTCCAATCATCGTGATGACTGTTACCTAGATATTAAGTTTTCTTCATGATGTTATTATTTTATAGGCCCTGTGACTGTTATGTTTTCAGGAGGTTCTATTCTGGTGCCTATAGACCTTTTGTTTCAAGCTTTAGAACTCCTTTTAGTATTACTTGTAGGGCTGGTCTACTAGAAAAAGTTCTGTGGCTGGATGGGGGAGGTGGTTGTACAATATTGTGAATGTCCTTAACACCAGTGAACGGTACACTAAAAATAGTTCAGTAGTAAATTTCATGTTATGTCTATTTTTCCACAATAGCAAAAAGTAATGCCATTTCTTTAAAACACCACCTTACACAGTATTGTTTATGTTGACAGCTCCAAGCTATCAGGCCTGAGCATAAGCTTTGTGCACGCAGCATTTTAGCATTTTAACTACATACTGTCTGGAATGTAAAATGTATACATAGTCTAAAAAATCTCCCAGAAAACACAGGAAAGTGGATGGGAGGAAATTAAAGGTCAGCCACCGTCCTGCCACGGAGGCCTCTGCCTTTCTGGTCTTTCTGGTGTCTCCGCTGTCTCCCCATGGGAGCACTTGTTTCTAAAGGTCTCTGCGGGTGACTTGTCTCTTTTATAACTACTAACCTTTGATCCCTTCATTATAAAGGGTTTAGAGCCTTATATGATTTTATCCTCTGATGAGAATTAAAAGCTGTTAAAGATCTGGTCAACAGTCTCGTGGAATGGCAGGAGTGCAGGTGTGCTGGTCAGACAGCCCGATGTTCAAACCCTGCCGTCACTATGTAGGCACCATTTGTAAAGCGGGACCATCATATGCAAACTGCAGGTGTGTTGTAAATGACAACTCGATGGAATTGGATGCACCGTGTGTAGCCACGTCAGGAGCGCGACGGACGTGATTCCTTTCCCGACTTTCTCAGCTTTGCTAACTCCCTGTCTTCATTTTGTTCGAGTCTAGCTGACTAGATCTGCTTACAGAGGCCTGTGATGACTCATGTCACACGTTATGTAATAGAGTCAGAGCCTCTTCTCTCCTCAGCACCTGCAGCCCAGGTAGGAATAAATTCCCAACACCAATCACGTCACTGAGATAACACAACAGGGACCCTGAACAGTGGTTAGTTTTCTTCTTGGTGCATAGAACCTTTTTCAGCAGCTACCCCTTCCTTTCTGCCTATATCTTATCCCCAGGACCTACCATTTGATCTGTCTTGAGTATCAATAGATGGTCAAGAATATACTGAACTGGATAAAACCACTTACAAATCATCTTAAATATCTTAGGAAAGATTCTCTAAATTCCCATCACTGCTGAAATCCTGTGTTCAGACATCATGAGCAGGTTCTCCTCCTCCTCATCTGTGGTCCGCAGCAGAGCAATTCCTGCATTCGCGGGGGAGGCCGGGCTCTCCTGGGGTTGCACAGTCTCACAACATTAGCCTCGGGGGGGTACTTCTGTGAGAACACTGCACAGTGGAGGCTTCACCATCCATCTCAAAGGCAGCAGGGACTATGTAGGAACGCTAGCCAGGCCAGCCCCCAGGGACAGATATTCCCAAGGCTGCACTGAAAATGACATGGCAAAGCTGCTGGCATCCACAAGGAACGAAAGGAGCAAGGTATGAGCTTTTACAGCTCTATCCCCGCACGTGAGTCTTACTGATACTGTCCAGTGTGCAGAGGGGCTTAAAAATAGAAGAAGGGAACCCCGCAAAATAGACAGGGCATGTGTGTAGCAACCACTCTGAACTAACAGTGGAATTGAGGTGGCAACCCTGTATCTCCACTGAAAAACCAGGACTTGTTAAATGTGTCTTCTACATGTAATAATTTTCATTTCCTCCAATTTGGTCAAATAAGTAGCTGTCTCTATGTATTAGCAATCCTATAGCAAACTTACTGATCCATGTACCTCATCCAATCTTTAAATGGTTTTTGATGAATCCTTCACTCCCAATACTGGTTACTAGGACATAAACACAGCTAAATGCAGACATTGGCTTTCTCCAGGCTAAAAACAGCCTGGGGTCTCAATTCAGGGGCCTTCATGGAGTACATCAGCATTGCCAGTTCCCAGACAGAAGCAATACCGGCTCTATCTGCCAATGTCAAAAGAAAACAGATTCAAAGGGATTTTTGTTTTCCTTAGAGGTTTTCTTAAATTCAGTAACTCTAATGCATAAATGACTTGCATTTTCTAAGTACTGAACTTCATGTTAAAAATCTTATACAATTTTCTACAAAACAAGCCGAGCAACTGAATTCATTTGAAGCCTATGGAGGAATGAACACTGTGTAATAGAACCTAACAGAACCATGTACACACACACACTGAACCGAAACTAGTTCCCCTCCTAACAACCACACACACACACACTGAACCGAAACTAGTTCCCCTCCTAACAACCACGCACACACACACTGAAACGAAACAAGTTCCCCTAACAGAACCACACACACACACACACACACTGAACCGAAACAAGTTCCCCTCCTAACTACGTACACACACACACTGAAATGAAACTAGTTCCCCTCCTACCACACACACACACACACACACTCAACTGAAACTAGTTCCCCTCCTAACCACACACACACACACACACACTCAACTGAAACTAGTTCCCCTAACAGAACCATGCACACACACACACACACACACACTGAACTGAAACAAGTTCCCCTCCTAACAGAACCACACACACACACACACACACTGAACCAAAACAAGTTCCCCTCCTAACAACCACACACACACACACGCACTGAACCAAAACAAGTTCCCCTCCTAACAACTACATACACACACACACTGAAACGAAACTAGTTCCCCTCCTAACAACCACACACACACACGCTGAACCAAAACAAGTTCCCCTCCTAACAACCACACACACACACACTGAAACGAAACTAGTTCCCCTCCTAACCACACACACACACACACACACACACACTCAACCGAAACTAGTTCCCCTCCTAACAGAAACACACACACACACACATACTCAACCGAAACTAGTTCCCCTCCTAACAGAACCACACACGCACACACACACACTGAACCGAAACTAGTTCCCCTCCTAACAGAACCATACACACACACACACACACTCAACCGAAACTAGTCCCCCTAACAGAACCACACAAACACACACACACTCAACCGAAACTAGTTCCCCTAACAACCACACACACACACACACACGCTGAACCAAAACTAGTTCCCCTCCTAACAAAACCACACACACACACACACACACATGCTGAACCAAAACAAGTTCCCCTCCTAACAACCACACACACACACACACGCTGAACCAAAACTAGTTCCCGTCCTAACAGAACCACACACACATACACACAGACACACACACACACACACGCTGAACCAAAACTAGTTCCCCTAACAGAACCACACACACATACACACACACACACACACACACACACTGAACCGAAACTAGTTCCCCTCCTAACAGAACCATACACACACACACACACACACACACACTCAACCGAAACTAGTTCCCCTAACAGAACCACATACACACACACGCTGAACCAAAACTAGTTCCCCTCCGAACAGAACCACACACACATACACACACACACACACTGAACCAAAACTAGTTCCCCTCCTAACAGAACCACACACACACACACACACACACACGCTGAACCGAAACTAGTTCCCCTCCTAACAACCACACACACACACACACGCTGAACCAAAACTAGTTCCCCTCCTAACAAAACCACATACACACACACACGCTGAACCAAAACTAGTTCCCCTCCTAACAGAACCACGCACACACACACACACACACGCTGAACCGAAACTAGTTCCCCTCCTAACAACCACACACACACACACACGCTGAACTAAAACTAGTTCCCCTCCTAACAAAACCACATACACACACACACACACACACACTGAACCAAAACTAGTTCCCCTCCTAACAGAACCACGCGCGCGCGCGCACACACACACACACACACACACACACGCTGAACCGAAACTAGTTCCCCTCTTAACCATGCACACACATACTGAACCGAAACCAGTTCCCCTAATAGAACCATGTACACACACAACACTGAGTTGAACAAATGAAGCAGCTGGTTCACGTTATAAAACTGACCTTCTCTTTTTAAAAATAATTTGCTAAGGTTTATAACTGCCTAAAATAACTTGCTGATGGCCAGTTCAAGCATAAGCCCTCATTGTATTTAACGTTCTCATTCTACTGAGAATTGGTTTTCTCCTCGAATGCACTTGTGCAAATCAAGTCACTTTCCCCATACGGCCTAACAACTCTAATCCTTCCACAGGAGTTGAGTTGAATCCAGAGACACTGGGGAAGTAGTTCAGTACAGCACAGAGGGTGCACTTTGAAGATAAGTGTGGATTAACACTCCAGTTGCTCTGCTTAATGCCTTGGAGATATGTTACTGTTCTCATAGGGACTGAGTGTGAGATGCTGTACAGCCCAGCACGGATACACAGTTCAGGTCAGACTAGATCATTACAGCAGCAGAGGAGGGTATGGGCATGGAGAGGGGAAAGCTCTCACTGTCAAGCACCTCCGCATCCCAGACACAGGCCTCGGTCCTCCATTTATGCAATGTCCTCATTTTACAAACAAGAAAACAGTCTACGGGGAAAGCTCTTCCACAGATGGTAACTGGTAGAGCTTGCTTTGAACCCACCTTCTTCCTTCATTCTCTTTGCATTTCGATTTCTATATACATTGTATTCATTGGTATATTAGTCGGCTGTCACACTGCTATAAAGAACTGCCCCAAACTGGGTGATTTATAAAGTAAAGAAGTTTAATTGACTCAAAGAGCTGCATGGCTGAGGAGGCCTCAGGAAACTTACAATCATGGCAGAAGGCACCTCTTCACAAGGGCGGCAGGAGAGAGAATGAGTGCCAAGCAAAGGGGGACGCCCCTTATAAAACCATCACATCTTGTGAGAACTCACTATCACTAGACCAGCATGGCAGAAACCACCCCATGATTCAATGATCTCCACCTGGTCCTGCCCTTGACACACAGCGATTACTACAACTCAAGGTGAGATTTCGGTGCAGTCACAGATCCAAACCATATCAGTTGGTGAATTATAAAAGAAAAATGGAAGTGAACAAGTCAAAAATAGAAAGGTTTTGGGTGTTTCTTTGAGACAGGGTCTCTGTTGCCCAGACTAGACGGCAGTGGTGCAATCACAGCTCAGTGCAGCCTCAACCTTCTGGGCTCAGGTAATCCTTGCAAGGATTGGTGGGGTTGCAGGTGTGTGCCACTACGCCCAGCTCATTTTTAAATTATTTGTAGAGAAGAAGTCTAGCTATGTTGCCCAGCCTGGTCTTGAACTCCTGGGCTTAAGCAATCCTCCTGTGTCAGCCTACTAAAGTATTGGGATTACAGGCATGAGCCAGAAAAATAGAAGTATTTAAGGTGTATTTATGGCCTATCACTTCATTAAAGCAACCTATAACAAGCTTTTTTTCCCCTCTGAAAAAGCAGTGATTATTGTATGAATCAGCAGAATTATTTCCACAGACAGGTGTGTCTTGTTCACGTGGGCAGTGGACTATTATTATTCCACAGCCCCAGATACCAGATACCTGCACAACAGAATCCAGACAGGCCTTCCATCATCTCCAGGACAGGCTCTACTCATAAGCATATTCTTCTCAAATATCTTCCAAAACTAATCTAAACGCACAGTCTTATTTTCATTTGTTAGTGTCTTTTTTGAAGTATGACTGAGCTTTTTGAGAAAAATAAATCAAAAGACATTATTAAAAAAATAAATGTATGCACTGTTTTATTTTTTAACAATGAATCATGGCAAACAATTCATATGGTAGATATTGAGATGTGTGACCTCTAGTTTAGTCATCTACTTATATTCTCAGTCCACGATGGGAGCCATTGGGAACGTGACCAACACAACAGAACACTCAGAAAAATACGATGCAAGAGCCAAGTTTCCTCATTCCAGCCACGTGGAATTCAATTACATAAAAAATATGGCAGAATTTATACTACAGATAACCTGTTAAATGGCATGGGCATGATAGTGCTAAATTATGGAAAAACACCAAAAAGCAAGGGAAATAAATCGGGATGCAGGTGGAGCCAAGAACCTGGCATTTGCTGGCTTTGAGCCCTAAGAATCTGGTGCAAAGATGGGCAGGCAAAAACAAAGTAAAGGAACACAGAAGGTCAAGAATGAGGAGAAAAGAAGCTCTGGCTCATGCCTGTAATCCCAGCACTTTGAGGTGGGAGGCCAGAAGTTCCAGACCAGCCTACGCAACACAGTGAGACCTCATCTCTCAATAAACACGCAAATTAGCTGGGCGTGGTGGCACCTGCCTGTGGTCCCAGCTACTCGGGAGGCTGAGGTGGGAGGGTCAGGCAGCTGAGGCTGCACTGAGCTGAGACGGTGCCACTTCATTCCAACCTGGGTGACAGAGCAAAATAATAATAACAATAATAATAAAGAATAAACAACGAATGAACAAGATAGGAAAAATGTGTTGTGATGGACAGAAGAGCAATAAAAAGAATTGAGAGAAACAGGCAACACTGAAAGCGGTGAGTTGACAGCTCGTGGTTTGCGTGGGGACTGTGGTCTTGTCATGCAGCAAATCCTCACATCTTTACGTTAGCGCTGGAGCCCAGGTGACGGTCCACACACCTGCACACTCTCACTGTCTCCTCTCCGTGCTGCACCTCAATTACTGATGGGATCATTTTAATGGGTTCCTCTGAAGCAATTCCACAGCCCCGGATACCAGATACCTGCACAGCAGAATCCAGACAGGCCTTCCATCATCTTCAGCACAGGCTCTACTCAAAAGCATATTAACAAAAAATCTCTCCTGGAAATGTAAGCCTGCAGTGGACTCCTTAAATGACCACTGGCAACCACAGAGCCCTTTGTTCTGGAAATTGCTGTACTTAGCTACTGCAGGAGACAGCCGCGCAGTCACAATGCTCTGAGGTGTCTCACTTTCCTGCTGCTCTAAGGACAGGGCAATAGTAATTTTGAAAGAACTTTTCCTATTATCAAGAAGGCCACATACTTGTCATAGAAAATTTGGACTCTATAAAAGAAGCAGGAAGATAATAGGCATCTAGAACTCCGTCGTGAATGACAATCACTTTGAACGTTACTTTAGCTACAGATGGACGCTCTAGCATTTTCCACGTTTTCAGAAATGTTATAAAACAACACATTGAAGGGCTATGTGTGATTGTATCCCACGAACGATGTAGTTTACTCTCATACTTTAAGTGTGGTAGTGCTTAAGTTGCTTTTATAAATAAAATAGCAGTAAATATGCTTTACTTGAAGCTTTTTCTGAATATTTACTTATTTTTATGGATTGTATCCCAGAATTAGAGTGACAAGACCAAAGGGCATGAACATTTTCAAAATGCTTGTTAGGTGACAAAAAGCATTTTCACAAAAGGAAAGCTGAATATTCAATGAAAATTCTATCAGCATCATCGCTGTTCCTTTCTGCATTTTAAGCAAAGACAAATAGAAAACTGGAAATTATAACGAAGCAAAGCCGAGTGCCAAGGCTGAAAGGAACTGTCTTCTGCAGCTGCTAAAGTGATTCATCTTTTCAGCAGAGCAAAGGATGATACATTTGTAGTTTATTTTAAAATAACTCATATTCAATAAATCAAAACAAACATATGATACCCAAAGACACGTGCCTTTTATGAATGTGGAAGGTCTGGGCGCCATTGAGGGGACGAAGAGGGACAGATCCAGGGCGCTGGGTTCAGATCACACCACGTCTGGATGGTTCACGTGCTGGGTTCAGGTCGCACCACGTCCGGATGGTTCAGGGCGCTGGGTTCAGATCACACCACGTCCGGATGGTTCAGGGCGCTGGGTTCAGGTCACACCACGTCTGGATGGTTCACGTGCTGGGTTCAGGTCACACCACGTCCAGATGGTTCACGTGCTGGGTTCAGGTCACACCATGTCCGGATGGTTCAGGGCGCTGGGTTCAGGTCACACCACGTCTGGATGCTTCACGTGCTGGGTTCAGGTCACACCATGTCCAGATGGTTCACGTGCTGGGCTCAGGTCACACCATGTCCGTATGGTTCAGGGGGCTGGATTCAGGTCACACCACGTCCAGATGGTTCAGGGCGCTGGGTTCAGGTCACACCATGTCTGGATGGTTCACGTGCTGGGTTCAGGTCACACCACGTCCGGATGGTTCAGGGCGCTGGGTTCAGGTCACACCACGTCCGGATGCTTCACGTGCTGGGTTCAGGTCACACCATGTCCAGATGGTTCACGTGCTGGGCTCAGGTCACACCATGTCCGTATGGTTCAGGGGGCTGGATTCAGGTCACACCACGTCCAGATGGTTCAGGGCGCTGGGTTCAGGTCACACCACGTCTGGATGGTTCATGCGCTGGGTTCAGGTCACACCACGTCTGGATGGTTCATGCGCTGGGTTCAGGTCACACCACGTCTGGATGGTTCACGTGCTGGGTTCAGGTCACACCATGTCCAGATGGTTCATGTGCTGGGTTCAGGTCACACCATGTCCGGATGGTTCAGGGTGCTGGGTTCAGGTCACACCACGTCTGGATGGTTCACGTGCTGGGTTCAGGTCACACCATGTCCAGATGGTTCATGTGCTGGGTTCAGGTCACACCATGTCCGGATGGTTCAGGGCGCTGGGTTCAGGTCACACCACGTCTGGATGCTTCAGGTGCTGGGTTCAGGTCACACCACGTCCAGATGGTTCAGGGCGCTGGGTTCAGGTCACACCACGTCCGGATGGTTCAGGGCGCTGGGTTCAGGTCACACCATGTCCGGATGGTTCAGGGCGCTGGGTTCAGGTCACACCATGTCCTGATGGTTCAGGGGGCTGGGTTCAGGTCACACCATGTCCGGATGGTTCACGTGCTGGGTTCAGGTCACACCACGTCTGGATGGTACATGCGCTGGGTTCAGGTCACACCATGTCCGGATGGTTCAGAGTGCTGGGTTCAGGTCACACCATGTCCGGATGGTTCATGTGCTGGGTTCAGGTCACACCACGTCCGGATGGTTCATGGTGCTGGGTTCAGGTCACACCATGTCTGGATGGTTCAGGGCGCGCTGGGTTCAGGTTACACCATGTCCAGATGGTTTGCGGCCCTGGTGCATGCTCATTCATCGGCAATAACTGACACCATCACATGACCCTCTGGCTGTGGTTTGAACGTCTCTTCCAGGGCAGATCAAAGCCCAGTGTGGTGGAGCCACGTCGCAAATCAAACGTTGCAGATCAAAGGCTGGTGGGGTGGGACCGCGTCCCTCCACGCCTCTGTTCCCATCTCATACAGCTGACTCCCCGGGGAAGGCTTTCAAGGAGCTAGGACATCTGCCTCTCCCTGGTCAGCTCCTCCTTAGGGAGTGTGGGGAGCTGAATTTCATGAAAAACACTGGTGCTGTACTCTTGATTGTGTATGGATTTTATTAATAACAGCTCCCCAATGAGAATGAGGACGGGCTCAAAACTGGTCAACCCTGGGTCTCCGCTCATGTCTTTAATGCTGGCTGAGCCCCACAGGAGACATCAGGGAGTCCAGGGCTGTCTCCGCCGGGGCTGATGTGTGTTCAGCCTGTGCCCAGGGGACAGAAGGGCTGGGGAGGCGCAGGAACTTGGAATATTTACTGAGCATTGAGCTGTAAGCCACTGGGGGCGCCTAAGGGACTAGGAATCAAATCAAGGTCATGATGACAGGGAAAGCCACCAAGAGGCTGCCTTCGCCGGGAGCGAGGGGCGGAGGCACCTCCACCATCCCCCGTTTCTCACAGAACACAATGTGGCACGTGGCTCAAAACCCACATCTACGACTTTGAAGGTATCTGTATTCTGAAGTTGTGAAATCAGCACTGCTGAGACATCTATAGGATACAGACTAAAACTCGTAATATCACGCACACACATTTTTAAAAATTAAGCAATTACGGTGGGTTAGGCACTATAAGAACTTGGCATACATAATCTCATTGAAACCTACAGCATTCTCTGAGCTG
The DNA here is from genome assembly GCF_000001405.40 of Homo sapiens. Taxonomy (NCBI): domain Eukaryota; kingdom Metazoa; phylum Chordata; class Mammalia; order Primates; family Hominidae; genus Homo; species Homo sapiens. The sequence continues at coordinate 279 of NT_187565.1, read as the reverse complement.
GGCACTATTCTTATCTCATTTTTACAGAGAAGGCTCAGGAAGACCATTGCTTGACCAAGGTCGTGGAGCTATCGTAAGGATTCCTCGTCCACATCCAGCTGGCTCCAAATCCACATTCCCCATATAGCTTCTGATACAAACGCAGTGGACTTGTTCCCAGAATACGCATGTAATAGGTGAATGTGATTTCAGGGATAGACCTGAAGATACCTAAGCCCTAGGATGGCCTATGTGTCCCATTTAAGAATCTCCCCATTACAGGTGACATCTGCAAACACG